>NC_000005.10:162427990-162731020 GCF_000001405.40 Homo sapiens | reverse complement strand
AAATAAAAAATAAAAGAATGAGTGTGTAATAGCTTAGCCCATGTGATACAAGCAAATTAGTTATTTTTGGGCAAAGGTCAGGGTTATATTTTGGCTTTGAGGGCAAAGGTAATTCTCGGGATCATCAGAAAATTAAATCTTACCATAGGCTTAGATCATTGTACAAATACTCTTAAGTACATCTCTTTCCTTGCTGTTAGATCAATTTATTCTCGGGTTTACTCATGCATTTATTCATACGGCTTCTCTTTGGTAGTCTTACTGTCTTAAGTCAGCTGCATAGCATTTGATTTTTTTTTAATACAGGACTCGGATATTTATGATTTCCTCTATGGAAGTATTTTTCCTTTAGCTTTTTCAGAGGTTAACTTCTTAACCTTCAGGCTCTCGTTAAATATCACTTCCTCAGAAATGCCTTGCTCGGCCCACTTCAGGCTGTCTCACTCAGTCACTGCAAAACACATCACTTACTGCATTTCTTTCGCAGCACTTATCACCATCTGTAATTATCTGGCTTTTGTTTTGGTTGTTTATTTTCTCTTTGATATTCAACACATGTTGCAAGAGGGCAGGTCCAGAACAAAAGCCTGGCTTATAGTTAATGCTCCTTTATCCATATCTTTGTGTTTATTTGAATATCTGCTATGAATATCTACTATGTGGCAGTCATGGTTTAGACTCCAAAATGTTGCAACAGATAAAATAGACAAAACCTTTGCTTCTATCAATTTTACATTTTCATCAGGAACAGCAAAGACACATCATATAAGTAGGTAAATAAAATGACAAAAATCTACAATAAATTGTAACATAGGGAGAGGATGGAGAGTGATGGAAGGTGATCTTTTAAACATGGTAGTCAAGTCAGGTGCCGTGGCTCTTGCCTGTAATCCCATCACTTGGGGAGTCTGAGATGGGAGAATTGCTTAAGGCCAGGAGTTTGAAACCACCCTTGGCAACTTGGCAAAATCCCATCTCAACAAAAAAAAAAAAAAAAAAAAAAAAATTAGCCAGGTGTCATGGTGCTCACCTGTAGTCGCAGCTACTTGGGAAACTGAGGTGGGAGGATTGCCTGAGTCCAGGAGTTCGAGGCTACAGTGAGCTGTGATCATGCCATCTCACTCCAGCCTGTGCAACAGAGTGAGACCCTATCTCAAAAAAATAATATTAAAAAAATAAACATGGCAGTCAGAGAAAGTGTTCTTGGGAGGTGCTGTTTCAGTACTAGTATGAATAAAGTGAGGGAGGAAGTCATTGAGACATCTGGGAGAAGAGCCTTCCAGACAAGGAATAGCATATGCAAAATCCCTGAGGTTTTTGTCATGTTCAAAGAGCAAGAAAAATTTCATTAAGCCTGGAGAGAAGGGGCTGCAATACAAAATCGTAAGTGAGATATTCAGGGACCATGTTAAACATTTATATTGTATTTATTTAAAAAGGTGATAGCATCAGAAGTTTCTGTAGAGAGCAATGATTGATTTTATTTATATTGGGCAAGAGTCACTCTGACTAATGCGTGGAGAACAGCATGACACAGGTGTAAAAGTAGAACAAGAACTAGTTAGAAGGATGCTGAATGGTCCAGGTCAGAGATGATGGTGCCATTGAGGCAGAATAGGCTCTGGGGGCCAGGACTTCCTAGAACTAAATCAAATGGAAAAAACCCCAACTTTCTAAGACTGAGTGAATAACTTTGTAACTTCAGCTATGACAGGAAACATCCTCTTCATTTGCATAGGGCGTACACCAAGTAAATAACTTTGTAACTTCACTTCATCCTCTTCGTTTATATAGGGTGTACACCAAGTAACCAATGGGAAACCTCTATAGGATATTTAAACCCCAGAAAATTCTGTAACCTGGCTCTTGAGCCACTTGCTCAGGCACACTCCCACCCTGTGGAATGTGCTTCTGTTTTCAGTAAGTCTCTGCTTTTGTTGTTTCATTCTTTCCTTGCTTTGTTTGTGCGTTTTGTCCTATTCTTTATTCAAATGCCAAGAATCTGGTCACCCTCCACCAGTAACACATGGTTTGGGCAGTGGAATAGGTAAAATGTGATCAGAATTGGGGTATGTTCTGAAGGAAGTAACAGCAAAATGTGCTTATGGATTGGGGTATAAAACTACACTTTCTTTATCCATTCTGCATTCATCTTTCAGTGAACATTTGTGTTGTTTGCATATTGGGCTCTTAAGAACTTAGCCTTAAATATGAAGGAAATCCTACCATTTATGACAACATGGAGAACCTGGAAGACATTATGCTAAGTGAGGTATGTGTGACATGGGACAAATACTGCAAGATTCCAGTTACACGAGGAATCATTTTAAATTAAGTAGAAAATAGAATGGTGGTTTCCATGGGCTAGTGGGATGAGGACATGGGGATTTGTCGTTTAATGGGTACAAGTTTTCATTTGTACGAGATGAATGAAGTTCTAAAGATCTGCTGTACAACATAGTGCCTGTGGTTAATGACGTATTGGATGCTTAAACGTTTACGAGGATAGACCTCATGTTAAACGTTCTTACCACAAAAAGAAAAGCAAAAGAGATACATCAAAACTTTTGGAGGTGATGGAAATATCTATTACATTGATTATGGTGATGATTTCACAGGTTTATGAATATGTCCAAACTGATCAAATTGTATTAAATGTGTGCAGGTTTTGCATATCAGTTATACCTCAAAAAAGCTTTTAAAATAATTTTGATAGTATATAATAAATTGGCCGTAATTTTTTAAAAAAACGCAATTTTTAAATTCTGAGAACTGGAAAAGTGCCATTCTTATTTACTGAGAAAAGGAAGAGTGAGGAACAAACAGGGAAGAAAAATAAAGCGTTTGGTTTTGGACATGTTAAATTTGAGGCATCCAAGAGAATAAATAAAGGAGGCAGATGGATCTAAGAGCCTTAAGTTCAGAGGAAAGACTGGAGAAACTAAATTGTGAGTCATAAGTGTAAAGGTGGAATATAAACAAGGAGAAAGTCTAGGATCACCTAAGGAATGGGGGTAGATAATTGAAAGAAGATATCCCAGGACAGATCTTCTGTATTTAGAGTTTGGGAAGAAAATAAAAATTCAGCAAAGGAGACACTGAAGTAGGAGGCTAAGTGAGGAAGGAGGAAAAAGGTATATGGTATCACATAATGCAGTGACAGTATTTCTAGAAGAAAGGAGTGATCAGCTACTTCAAATGTTAGTTAATAGGCATAATAATATAATAATTAAAAGTGGCCATTGAACCTTTTCATGTAGAAGTCACTACTGACCTTGATTTGGTGATTTGGTGATTAGGGAGAATTAAAAAAAGGATGTAAGAATAACAAATGGAGACAGCATTTAAAAATTTTGTCATAAAAAGAAGTAGATAAGGCAGTGATAACTGAAGAAAGATGCGAATAGAGATTATTGTTAAATGCCAGAATTATCACAAAAATATTTAATGACAGAAATTATCCAGTGAAGAAGACATTAATGATGAATGAGATTAATGATGAATGTGCAGACAACTGCAGAAATAATATTCTAGAGCGAGCAAGAGGTGATGGTACAAACAAATGGAGAAAGAGCAATTCATCATTAAGTTAGGGAAAGATAGTGGGACAAGAATTAAGAATTTTTTTGTTAAGGGAGTTAGTTAAATGATGGACTTGGAATCTAAATTGGTTAGGGAGGAAAATGAGAATACAAAGGAGAAGGGTCAACAAATTAAAAGTGTCTATGTGGTTAAAGAGTTAGTGATATCAGGCTATTTGAGGGAAATGAGATTTAATAGGGACAGATAAGAAAAAAAATCAGAGTGGGGAAGCTATTCACAGTGGAAAAGTCAAGAGTGGAGCCATTTTTCAACTTTTTATAATCCCTCAGGAAATTCTATTTTAATTAATTAAATAATCTGTGTATTTATTCATCTATCAAAACAAAACATATATTTATGTATTCCTTCTTCCTTGCCTTTCTTCCTTTATTTTAAAGAACACTGTTGTCTTCCCCCATTTTAAAAAATGATGACATTAATTGATCTGGGCTGGAGAACCAGGACTTATACATACACACACACACACACACACACACACACACACATATGCATATATATATATATAATTTTCAGACAGGACCTTGCTCTGTTGCCCCAGGCTGGAGTTCAGTGAGTGAGAGCGTGATCTTAGCTCACTGCAACCTCGATTTCCTGGGCTGAAGTGATCCTACCACCTCATCCTCCTGAGTAGCTGGGACTACAGGTGTGCACCACCATGCCTGGCTAATTTTTGCATTTCCGTTTTTTAGAGTTGGGGTTTTACCATGTTGCCTAAGGCTGGTCTTGAACTCCTGAGCTCAAGAGATCTGCCTGCCTCAGCCACCCAGAGTGCTGGAATTACAGGCATGAGCCATGATGCGTGGCTGACACTGATTCATAAAAAAACGTCCAAGATGCTGTCAAGGAGAACATCTGGCTTAAGATACAAGTTTGCATCTTCACCTACACATTGAAATCATTCGACAGATACACACATACATGAAAACACATGCACATTTCTCAAGTTATTTGAAGCAAGAAAATGAAGGTAATGGGTGCATTGTTTATTTGAATTGTGAAATCACAAATAAAAAAAAAATGGAAGATGCAAGAGAGTATTTGAACAAGGTGCTAATATCCTGAAGGAATATAAAAGCCAGTCTGTAGTTGGCAGGTACAGGTTTGGAAGCAAATGGTGCAGTCTGACACAAAGAGCAGGGAAGTTTCATCAGGGAGAAGGCAAGAATGGTGATTTGAATGCAGCAATGAGAGGCAAGGTCATCAATTACTCATCTACAGGTCTAGGATGTAGCAGTTGAAAACCCCAATTATTAATCTTTTCAAAAAACCAGCTACTGGATTCATTGATTTTTTGAAGGGTTTTTATGTCTCTGTCTCCTTCAGTTCTGCTCTGATCTTAGTTATTTATTGTCTTCTGCTAGCTTTTGAATTTATTTGCTCTTGTTTCTCTACTTCTTTTAATTGTGATGTTAGGGTGTCGATTTTAGATCTTCCCACTTTCTGATGTGGGCATTTAGTGCTATAAATTTCCCTCTAAACACTGCTTTAGCTGTGTCCCAGAAATTCTGGTATGAACATTCCATGCTCATGGATAGGAAGACTCAATATCATGAAAATCGCCATACTGCCCAAAGTAATTAATAGATTCAGTGCTATTCCCTTCAAGCTACCATTGACTTTCTTCACAGAATTAGTAAAAACTACTTTAAATTTCATATGAAAACAAAAAAGGCTCCTTGTAGCCAAGACAATCCTAAGCAAAAAGAACAAAGCTGGAGGCATCATGCTACCTGATTTCAAACTATGCTACAGTAACCAAAACAGCATGGTACTGGTACCAAAGCAGATATATAGACCAGTGGAACAGAACAGAAGGCTCAGAAATAGCACTACACATCTACAACCATTCAATCTTCGACAAACCTGACAAAAACAGGCAATAGGGAAAGGATTCCCTGTTTAATAAATGGTGCTGGGAAAACTGGCTAGCCATATGCAGAAAACTGAAACTGGACCCCTTCTTTACACCTTATACAAAAATTAATTCAAGATGGATTAAAGACTTAAATGTAAGACTGAAAACAATAAAAGAAGAAAACCTAGCCAATACCGTTCAGGACATAGGCATGGGCAAAGACTTCATGACTAAAACACCAAAAGAAATTACAACAAAAGCCGAAATTGACAAATGGGATCTAATTAAACTAAAGAACTTCTGAACAGCAAAATAAACTACCATCAGAGTGAACAGGCAACCTACAGAATGGGATAAAATTTTGGCAATCTATCCATCTGTCAAAGGTCTAATATCCATACCCTACAAGGAACTTAAACAAATTTACAAGAAAAAAAGCAAACAACCCCATCAAAAAGTGGGTGAAGGATATGAACAGACACTTCTCAAAAGAAGACATGTATGCTGCCAACAAACATATGAAAAAAAGTTCATCATCACTGGTCGTTAGAGAAGTGCAAATTAAAGCCACAATGAGATACCATCTCATGCCAGTTAGAATGACAATCATTAAAAAGTCAGGAAACAACAGATGCTGGAGAGGATATGGAGAAATAGGAACACTTTTACACTATTGGTGGGAGCATAAATTAGTTCAACCATTGTGGAAGACAGTGTGGCGATTCCTCAAGGATCTAGAACCAGAAATACCATTTGACCCAGCAATCCCATTACTGGGTATATACCCAAAGGAATATAAATCATTCTACTATGAAGACATATGTACATGAATGTTTATGGCAGCACTATTAACAATAGCAAAGACTTGGAACCAACCCAAATCCAGGATAAAGAAAATGTGGCACATATACACCATAGAATACTATGCAGCCATAAAAAAGGATGAGTTCATGTCCTTTGCAGGGACGTGGATGTAGCTGGAAACCATCCTTCTCAGCAAACTAACACAGGAACAGAAAACCAAACACTGCATGTTCTCACTCATAAGTGGGAGTTGAACAATGAGAACACATTGACGAAGGGAGGGTAACATTACACACTGGGGCCTAGCAGGGGATGGGAAGTAAGGGGATGGAGAGCATTAGGACAATTACCTAATGCATGTGGGGCTTAAAACCTAGATGACGGGTTGATAGGTGCAGCAAACCACCATGGCACATGTATACCTGTGTAACAAACCTGCACATTCTGCATATATACCCCAGAGCTTAAGTATAAAAAAAACCCAATTATGAGATCTTCAGGGAACCCCCACAAGGGAAAGCCAGATTCTAGTACAAGAAGGTAAAGTAAGTGTCAGAGCAGTATTTTAAATTGCATAGGATTTGACAAACACTGTGGTGCTCAATGAATATTTGTTGAGTGAACAAGTACATTTTATTCAGATCAGCATTATGTGTGTACAGCATATTATGCTGGATTAAAAGTCACTATTTGAGCACCCATCTTATTCATTTAATCAGGATTTATATTGTGGAATACCAACAAAGATAATTTTATTAGCTCTGGGTGCACCCTTAGGAGTTCATCTATTGCTGATAGTAGGTTTACATGAAGATGTAGGATCCCTATTGTTTAAATATAATATGGATAACTTATTGAATATACAAATGGATAGTGACCAGACCATAGATGAAAGCAGAACTCTGATCTACAAACTCTTTTATCTGGGAAGCCAAACTATAACTTCTGTAGCAATTAGTCCAAAATATCCAGGACTGGGTCAATAACTGCCAACTTACCTATATTTGCCTCTGCTTTCAATTCAGGACCAACTAGGGAAAGTCAAATATGCTTCCCAAACCATTCACATAAATTAGCAACTTTTAGTTAGTCCACCTACTACTTCTTCATGCTAACCTACAATCAGAAAAAGAACCTGAAGGCTTCTTTTCCTTCACTATAAAGTTTGGTCTTCTTCCCCCAGTCGGCCTTTGAGTCTTTGTTAAACACAAGTGATGTTGACTATCTTCTTTGCTGTTGAAAGCTCTAAATAAATAGCCTGTGTTCTCATTTGGGTTTTGCTCTGGTGTGAATGTTTAGGTTCCCCAAAAGTTCATATGTTGAAAACCTAATCACCAAGGTGATAATGTAAGGAGGCAGAGACTTTGGGAGATGATTAGATTGTGAGGGTGGAGCAATCATGAATAGTTTAGTGCCCTAATAAAAGAGAACCCAGAAAGTTGCCTTGATTTTTCAACCATGTGAGGAAACAGTGAGGAGTCAGTATCTTTGAGTCGGGAAGTGGGCCCTCACCAGACACTGAATCTTTCAGCATCTTGATCTTGGAATTTCCAGCCTCCAGAACTGTAACTAATAAATTTCCTCTATTTATAAGCTACTGTCTCTATGGGATTTTCTTATAGCAGCCCAAATGAACTAAGACAGATAGTTTTTGTTTATTTCCATATATGACGTATATGACTGACTGTTAAGAACATATATGTAGGTAATAATAACAATGCAGGCATTAAACTGTTAAAGCATATATTAATAAAGTATTTAAATAAAATATTTTAATAGAGGTAGTTCTTTTAATTTTGTTTTTTAAGAATACTGATAGCTGTATTTTGTGAAAGATCTAAGGCAGAGTTTAAATTGTTAAATATTAATAAGATAGTATAAAATTTGTTTTAGCAATAAGATTAGATGTTGCATTTAACCTATTTAAAATAATTGTTCTTACCACATAGAAGATGTGTGATAATGCACATAAATATTTTAAGCTATATTTTAAATACACGAATCCTTCAAAATTATAATTTACCTAATACACAAAACATTATAATATAGTACATGGGCCCATGGGCTTGAGTAAAATATATAATTTTAACCATGGGCAGTGGGATATGTAGTCAGAGACTATGTATGTGTATGAAAAAATGTTAATATTTCTTTTCAATAAAACAACTTACTTTTGTAAATTTTAAATGATTAATGCATTTTACTATCCTTATTATGATTCTTCTTTAAAAATCAATAAGTTGTTTATAAAATCCTGAGCTATATATCTTTCCTCTTCGCAAGTTATTAAGTTATTAGTATTCTTCTCCTATGTCTTAACTAAAGACACATCAAAAAGGGTATTGGCTTTGCAAGTCCATGCTGTATGCTTACTGGAGGCTTGTTATACAACCAGAAATATTGGAAGAATTCCTTAAAGAGAGGCCTTATTTTTTAGGAAATTCTATCGATAGGCCTAAGGTGATGGATTTCATATAAAAATGTTATTTGCAGTTATAAATATTTCTTATGGCAGCAATATTATTAATAATCTGTTATTTAAAATGCATAACATTTCACTTCACAATTACATTGTGGCTGTGGTGGTTCTTAACATTTGAACTCTGGACTAATAGTGTCACCCAGTTACTTTTAAAAATGAAAGTTCTCTAACCCCATCCCAGATCTACTGAATGACAAACTTTGGGAAAGGGGCCCAGAAATTTATGTTTAATAAGCCTCCCAGGTGAGTGTGATGCATGCTAAAATTTGAGATCCCCTGAACTATATAATCCCCCTTTGGTTAAACCATGGAAAATATCAACAATAGCAACACAGAAAGAATGTTTATTTTACACAGTAAACAAAATTCAGTATTTTTAGCTCCCACTCTTTCCACGAGATAGGCTAGAAATTAAAATGCTCGATTGAAGTTTTATGAAAATTACTAAATCTACCAAATATTTTGCTCCCAGGGAGACAAGGCAGTCAGGAAGTTTTATGAGTTTGGAGTGTGAGGCAGTAATTCATAAGGGTTACTATGATTTCTCTCCTAAAGGTTTATGCTTATTTGGGTTAATCAGTTAATTTACTAAAACTGGTAATACTATGCATTAAGAATCTTCCAGAAATATTCCACAACCCTCTAAACTAGCATGAAAAATATTGTCTTAATTATTAGAGTATTAATTTTAGTTATTTATAATTGTGATTATGTACAGAGGAAATCCCAAACACAAATGCTTTCATGGGCCAGGGTGGTAACTTGATTGAAGGAGATCAGGTGGAATGGAATCATCATTTCTACCTAGAGAATTGCTTTCTTCCATTTATGCTAAAATAGCCAGGCCTTTTAGTTTGTCATGATCTTTTCTCACAGCGACATGGGAGGAGATAATAAATCCCATTTCTTCTGATACTAGGAAAACTGCTATGTAAACACAATGATGAATATGAATAAATACTCCATCTCAGTGTGAGACAGGGAATAATTAGAGGTGGAGATTGTGACAAACTTCAAGTGATATAACATCTTAATGGCAGGATGGGGGCTGCTAGATGGGAAGGAGCTTTTTTTAACACCTGCCAATCATAGCTGGTTGGAATGTGAAGTCTTCAAAATATTTAGCCCCAACTCTTACCACAAGATAGGCCAGAAATCAAAATTTCCATCGAAACTTCCCAAATTGGCCCAATAGGTCCTACAATATATGGCAGTTAGCAAACTTTATGTAAAGGGTTTTATTGAGGTGAAAAGTGAACTCACCATCTTCTTTTTCGTCTCTGAGAAAAGAATGTGAGTGCAGGAGGTTCAAGAGTTTTCCCCATGATACATACATAAAAAATTTCTGAATTAGAACTATATAATATCTTTAATCAGACAAAAGTAAGGGGCCATATTTTCCTAGCATGTTAATCTTTCCCTGGTTTTTAATGAGCAGATTTTAGAGGTGGCATCACCTTTAGATCAGTAGAAAACTATTATTTTTGACAACAACTAATTATACCCTAAAAGTCTCAGGGTAGCATCCAACAATATCTAGTTTACTTACTTACAGTAGCTTAATCATAAGAAGCTTTTGTCAAATTTCTTCTTTGTCACTTACCCCTACACACTCTATTCCCATTTCTCTTTTCATTATAGGCAGTCCTCCTATCATGCTTAATGAATTTATTTTTAATTATATGTATTCTTGCTAAATATATATTATTCCTTTATATGGAGATTTTTTTAATTTATGTAAAAGCAATTGAGTTTATAAAGGAACTCTGTAAATTACTGTAAAATCTCCAGCTATGTTAATCTATAAGGTGACAAACAATTATTTAAAATGAGAATGATTTCTACCTTATTGAGATGCAGTGATAGATACTTTTTATAAGATACTCTGACAGTTTTTATGGAAGTTATGATTTTGAAAGATAATTTTCATTTTTTCCTTAATTTTCTCTTTCTCCAGTAGAGCATAATATTTGAGTAAGCCCCAAATCTAAAAATAAATACCTGTTTTGCTGTTTCTTTCCATTAATTTTAGGGTGAATATAGCTAGTTAACTAAAATAATTAAATGCATATATCGAGAGTAAAAAACTCACATTGAAATTTATTTTATTTAAAGTATCATAAAATAAAACACTCAAATATTGGAGCTATGTACCAAAATGACAAGCAATTGTATAAATAAAGTAGCATTTAAATTTAATATTCTCCTGCTCTTAGGTATTAAGTTTATTTTTCTCATTCATTTTCTCAAGTGACAATATGTAGACATGAAAATAGACATATTATCAAACCATACTACATAATGGATAATTATTACTTTGGAGATACAGTAAAAAGATTTCTCCTGTGTCTTTACATCAACTTTTTTTTTCTGAGTGACAGTACATTTTCTGTTGCTAACATTTCATTTCTTGACTGTCATATCTGCTGCATTTTCTCCTCTGGTTCTAAGGTATTCTGTCAGTCTTATATTCCCAAGAAAGGACATGGTCTTCTAAATATGGACAGAAGAAGTATTGTAAAAGAGGGAAATGAAATACATTCAGAAATAATCCAGGCAACATTGAAACATTACATTGTATAATAATCTTACTTTTGAATATAGATATAAATATACTAGTCATTTTCAAAGTATATCTACAGCATAATAAATAATTTTATGTGATTCAGTTGACTTTATTTTAGGAAGGTAAGCTTGGTTCAACATCTCTAATGAATCACATTAATAAACCAAGCAGAACAAAATTGTCTTGGGTGCTGCTAAAGATCGTTATAGAGAATTAAACACAAGTTCCTAAAGAAAACACATAATAAACTAATACCGAAAAAATTTTAAAAAATTCTTAGATTATTAAATCAAATAAGAACCTCAAATATAACAGTGGAACACTTGAGATATTTCTATTAATAGGAACTAAAACAAGGATTCCTACTATTAATGTGTTTTGTCCACAGTTTTTGGAAATGCTAGCCTATGTAATGAGATAAGAAAATTAAATAATAAGTAAACATTAGTTTTAGTGGAAGAAGATACCCAGAGAGGGTTTTCATGAAGAAGGATTGCATGAGGGGTGCAAGCTTGACATAAAGAGGGTTGGGATTTAAGGTATAAGAAAGCCTGAATAGGGAACCTCTTGCCATTTGCCATTCCTGGTTATAAAGTTGTCAAGATCCTTGAGAATTTGAAAGTCAAAGGTGCCATTTTTGGGCCATCAGCTGTCATTATCTAATTTGTATTGGGGCCAGACCATGCTGTAATTAAAAAAACTAAAGGCTTTGGCTTTAGGCTCCCCTGTAAGCCAAGTTTGGCAAGGTTGTGAAGGAGACAGCTCAGTGGGGAGGAATGTGGGATTGTTTGGCACCCACGTGGAGTGGTAAGAGGAGGCTGAGGGTGTCTGTTTTTGTTCTAGGCATCCCCAGACAAAAGACAGAGACCCAGAATCCTCTTTCTGAAGAGGATGGTTAAGCTGAGAACAAACTGGGTATCTCTAAGATTTCTGCTAGCTTAGTCCCACTGGTCCTCCGAGGACAGAGATGGCAGACCTGACTTTCCTGGGTACTGTGAGAAAGCCAGGGGAAGGCAAATCTTATCATTCAGCTGGATTAGTGTTTGATGCTGGATGTTCTGATTGGAATTGGCAAAGGGCCTCCAAGACTGGAACCATGCAAGGAAGAGGCAGAGAGAAGGAGAGAGAGAGACAGAGACAGACACAGAGACCTTGAGGAGGGAGGAAGAGGGGACAAGGGTGAGAGAGTGAAATACCCATTGTGGACAGTCAGAGGTGAATTCCTGAGACTTGAGGGTTTTGAGAGCCCACCAGTGAGTAGCCCCAGCCCCACCCTAGCAGTTCCCTTCAGATTAGTTTTCCTCCTTTGCAAATTGCTCAAAAACTGAAGTGACAGGAAAGATGGAGTGTGTGGCCAAAGACTCTCAGGGTCCAGGAGTTAGTGTAGGACAAGCTGCTGCTGCCAACTGCTTCCTGGGTTCCAAGAGAGCCTCTACCCCCAACACCCATACTGGGTTTTGGCAATAAATGTAAGAGTTAAAGAGTTAAGGAAAGAAGAAAAAACACAAAAAGTGGCTCAGCAGTCAAAGACAGGTTTATTTTGGAGAATAAACCTGAGAGGGGCTTCTGGCTACTTTCGGTCAGGAGCATTGTCTCTTACAGACTAAAGAGTATTTAAGAGTTTAGGGAGGGAGGCTGGGCATGGTGGCTCATGCCTGTAATCCCAGACTTTGGGAGGCTGAGGCGGGCGGATCATGAGGTCAGGAGATTGAGACCATTCTGGCTAACACAGTGAAACCCTGTCTCTACTAAAAATACAAAAAATTAGCTGGGTGTGGTGGCGGGCACCTGTAGTCCCAGCTACTTGGGAGGCTGAGGCAGGAGAATGGCGTGAACCCAGGAGGCGGAGATTGCAGTGAGCCGAGATCGCACCACTGCCCTCCAGCCTGGGCGACAGAGCAAGACTGTCTCAAAAAAAACAAAAAAAAAAGTAGTTTAGGGAGGGAGAGCTTTTCACAGGCTCAGAATGTTTCTGTGTGGAGGAGAGTTTTATTGCAGGGTTGGAATCTCTCTGGTGGGAGGGGAGCTTATCTCGGGGCTGCCATGTTTCTGGTCAGAGGGGGGTTTATCTCAGGGTTGGAATGTTTCTGGTCAGAGATGTCACTTGTGGTTTATGGTCATGCTGACATTAGTCATTAGGCTGATGTTTTCAGGCTGGATTTAATCAAGGGGAACTTAAAATGATGCTGTTTGTCCAAGAAAGCAATGCTCCTTCTCTGTCACTTGGCAGAAAGGTACTCATCTTTAAAATTATTGGATAATTGTTGTTCATAGGATGAGACAACTCCCTAAATATAATAATGTAACCTATTATGAAGTCTCAGGCATGTTATCACTGATTATTCTTTGTCAGACTTGGAGGTCTGGAGTCACATGAAGCGGAGTAATAGAAAAAAATTAAGAGAACCTACCCAATGAGGATAATTATTATAATATTACCAGTAATTAAAGGAGAGTTCCCAAGGGAAGAGCCTAAAGGAACATGGCTCTTTGGCTTATTGTTATGGCATTAGCAAAGAGTGTTCTTTTCACTCAATAGGAAGAAATATCACAGTTCCTTTGGTGTGTATCCTACAGTGGACTTCATTAAGCCAATGGTCAACAAAGGCCGGGAAAAATTGTGACAAACTGCAGAGATACTGCATATCGTACCTGTAAAATGATAGTGCATCTCACTAACTCTAGCACTATTTTATGTTCAAGTTAAGATCTTTTAAAAATAATGAATTTGGGCAATCTTTCAGGACTTGTTAAAACAAGTCTTCATCCAATAGTTCATCAACTGGGTCTTGCCTGAAAGTTTTGAGTAACAAACATATTTCAAATAGTTAAATTAGCTGCCAATATTTAACAGTCAACAACTTCACTCAAAGTCTATACTTCTTTCTTCTTGTGTAGAAAAATGGCAGAATAATACAGCACCAGACTCTATTCCTACAAGGCAGACATCAACTGTAGGTTAGAAGCTGCTGTTACCTATCTTGCCCTGTAGACTTTGGAGACAGTGACCTCTAACATTGTGAGTGGCTCTATTTTTTTGTTTTTCCTGAAACAGAAGCAAATTGGATGTGAATGCCACTATACTATTCCAGGTAATCATCTTAAAAGTTTCCCTTGGGCGATTGAATTCTACTTTTGGACAGGAACACTGTGTTTTTTGTTTGTTTGTTTCTTTGTTTTGAGACAGAGTCTCACTCTGTTGCTCAGGCTGGAGTGCAGTGGTGTGTTCTCGGCTCACTGCAAGCTGCGCCTCCCGGGTTCATGCCATTCTCCTGCCTCAGGCTCTCCGGTAGCTGGGACTATAGGCACCTGCTACCACGCCCAGCTAATTTTTTTTTTTTTTTGTATTTTTACTAGAGACAGGGTTTCACTGTCTCTATCTCCTGACCTCGTGATCCACCCGCCTCGGCCTCCCAAAGTGCTGGGATCACAGATGTGAGCCACCATGCCCAGCCAGGAACACTTTTTAGTATGAAAATAAGTTGCAACTTGAAGTGTTGACATAGCCTTCCCAGATAGAAGCAGAAGTAGACTGCGAGTTGATTTCTGGATTTCAGCTTTTGTTCGTTTGTTTGTTTTTGCTTAAAACCTGCTATAGCCTCCCAGCAGAGAATAATCGCTTACAAGGCATCACTGTGATTACAGTTTGACTGTTTTTAATAAGTCTATCTCAAGACAGATGAACAAGATTGTGAGTAAGAAAATAATTTGAAATCCAGTTATAAAAAGGTATTTTTTTTGAGACAGGGTCTTGCTCTGTTGCCCAGGCTGGAATGCAATGGCAGGATCTCTTCTCACTGCAACTTCCACATCCCTGGCTCAAACAATTCTCATGCCTCAGCCTCCTGACTAGCTGGGATTACAGGCGTGCGCCACCACGCCTGGCTAATTTTTGTATTTTTAGTAGAGATGAGGTTTCACCATGTTGGCCAGACTGGTCTCGAACTCCTGACCTCAAGTGATTCACCCTCCTTGGCCTCCCAAAGTGCTGGGATTACAGGCATGAGCCACCATGCCCGGCCGCAGTTAAAATAAGGTATTAATGTTCAGTGATGGTGGCTGGAAGCTTTGTGAACATTTGTTACCAAGAGATACGTTAAAACTAAAACCCCAGTATAAACTGGAAACGAAGGGAAGAGTAGCAGTAAAAAGTGCTAGTTATACTAGGCCTTTGTTTGGAAGAATTTACAAAGATTAATTTTATTAATTTTAGTTTGTTTTTTATTACAGCATCATGGGCGTTTCCTGCACGAGTTAGTTCTCCTGAAAAATGATGTTAAGGTGGGAACAAAGCCATTAAGCCATTAATCCTAAACAGCCCAGTGGGACAGCCGTGAAAAAAATTAATTAATCTGGCCTAATTGAGCCCAAATATTAGGGTATAGGCAACTTAGATTAAATCTACAGCCATAAATTATTTTGACAGATTTAACCAGGTGAGTCAGCTTCATTGAAACCACAGTTAAATTGCCGGGCACGGTGGCTCACGCCTGTAATCCCAGCACTTTGCGAGGCTGAGGTGGATGGATCACAAGGTCAAGAGGTTGAGACCATCCTGGTCAACATGGTGAAACCCTGTCTCTACTAAAAATACAAAAATTAGCTGGGCGTGGTGGCACACGCCTGTAGTCCTAGCTACTCAGGAGGCTGAGGCAGGAGAATTGATTGAACGTGGGAGGCAGAGATTGCTGTGAGCTGAGATCACACCACTGTACTCTAGCCTGGCAACAGAGAGAGATTCTGTCTCACAAAAAACAAAACAAAACAAAAAAAAAAACACAGTAAAGAAACCACAGTTAAATCACATTTCAAGTAATTTGTGAAAGGGCACCAAAGTATTTTAAATAGGAATGGAGAAAGAAAATTATCAATACTAATAGCCAGCATTTATTTGGACAATGTGCTAAGTGAGCACTTTGCACATGTATCTCATTTAACAGCCACAACCACCCAATGATATAAGTTATCCACATTTGAAAGATGTAAACCCAGAGTTTAGAGGAGCCAAATAAGTTGTCCTAGGTCATGTGGATAGTCAGAGAAGGGTAAATCAGAATCAATTTTCCTTCATGTTGTACTCTTCCCTGTAGAGAACAGAGGAGTGGGGGGTACTTATAAGTTAAATCAATTTTTTGTTTTTCTACTCTGGTGATTCCTAAAGCATTTATGGTCCAGTTAAATTAGTCAGAGACCCATTGGTAGCCTCTCAAACATGACCAATTTCTTCTCTGATTCAACATTTGTGTTTGCCTCCTGTTTTGCGAATGATTTCAAGTTGCTTATCAGATGTGACAATATGTCATCTGTGAAGCTATTTTCCTTTTTTTTTAATTGTACTTTAAGTTTTAGGTTACATATGCACAACGTGCAGGTTTGTTACATATGTATACTTGTGCCATGTTGCTGTGCTGCACCCATTAACTCATCATTTAACATTAGGTATATCTCCTAATGCTATCCCTCCCCCCTCCCCCCACCCCACAACAAGCCCCGGGGTGTGATGTTCCCCTTCCTGTGTCCATGTGTTCTCATTGTTCAATACCCACCTATGAGTGAGAACATGCAGTGTTTGGTTTTTTTGTCCTTGCAATAGTTTGCTGAGAATGATGGTTTCCAGCTTCATCCATGTCCCTACAAAGGACATGAACTCATCCTTTTTTATGGCTGTATAGTATTCCATAGTGTATATGTGCCACATTTTCTTACTCCTGTCTA
Source organism: Homo sapiens (assembly GCF_000001405.40). Lineage (NCBI taxonomy): Eukaryota > Metazoa > Chordata > Mammalia > Primates > Hominidae > Homo > Homo sapiens. The sequence goes on along the minus strand of NC_000005.10, from coordinate 162,713,995 downwards.
TCATTGTTGGACATTTGGATTGGTTCCAAGTCTTTGCTATTGTGAATAGTGCCACAATAAACATATGTGTGCATGTGTCTTTATAGCAGCATGATTTATAGTCCTTTGGGTATATACCCAGTAATGGGATGGCTGGGTCAAATGGTATTTCTAGTTCTAGATCCCTGAGGAATCACCACACTGACTTCCACAATGGTTGAACTAGTTTACAGTCCCACCAACAGTGTAAAAGTGTTCCTATTTCTCCACATCCTCTCCAGCACCTGTTGTTTTCTGACTTTTTAATGATTGCCATTCTAACTGGTGTGAGATGGTATCTCATTGTGGTTTTGATTTGCATTTCTCTGATGGCCAGTGATGATGAGCATTTTTTCACATGTCTTTTGGCTGCATAAATGTCTTCTTTTGAGAAATGTCTGTTCATATCCTTTACCCACTTTTTGATGGGGTTGTTTGTTTTTTTCTTGTAAATTTGTTTGAGTTCTTTGTAGATTCTGGATATTAGCCCTTTGTCAGATGAGTAGGTTGCAAAAATTTTCTCCCATTCTGTAGGTTGCCTGTTCACTCTCATGGTGGTTTCTTTTGCTGTGCAGAAGCTCTTTAGTTTAATCAGATCCCATTTGTCAATTTTGTCTTTTGTTGCCATTGCTTTTGGTGTTTAGACATGAAGTCCTTGCCCATGCCTATGTCCTGAATGGTATTGCCTAGGTTTTCTTCTAGGGTTTTTATGGTTTTAGGTCTAACATGTAAGTATTTGATCCATCTTGAATTAGTTTTTGTATGAGGTGTAAGGAAGGGATCCAGTTTCAGCTTTCTACATATGGCTAGCCAGTTTTCCCAGCACCATTTATTAAATAGAGAATCCTTTCCCCATTTCTTGTTTTTGTCAGATTTGTCAAAGCTCAGATAGTTGTAGATGTGTGGCATTATTTCTGAGGGCTCTATTCTGTTCCATTGATCTATATCTTTATTTTTGTACCAGTAGCATGCTGTTTTGGTTACTGTAGCCTTGTAGTATAGTTTGAAGTCAGGTAGCATGATGCCTCCAGCTTTGTTCTTTTGGCTTAGGATTGACTTGGCAATGCGGGCTCTTTTTTGGTTCCATATGAACTTTAAAGTAGTTTTTTCCAATTCTGTGAGGAAAGTCATTGGTAGCTTGATGGGGATGGCATTGAATCTATAAATTACCTTGGGCAGTATGGCCATTTTCATGATATTGATTCTTCCTACCCATGAGCATGGAATGTTCTTCCATTTGTTTGTATCCTCTTTTATTTCACTGAGCAGTGGTTTGTAGTTCTCCTATTTTTCTAGAGAAACCCTATGTATCTGTGTATACAAAAGATTCTAAATCTTAGACAGTCTTGATGACTCCTGTAGTAATAACAGTAATGATGATGGCACTAACAAAATCATCATCAATAAACATCTATTAAACACTTACCATGTACCATGCACAATGCTGAAATTTTATTCAAAGCCTAGGGACTTTATAGCATCAAAATCCTATAATTGCAACATAGGAAAATGGCATCTCACAAACAATACTCATTTGACATTGAAAAATATTTGACTTCTTTTTACATCCGGAATACTACATGGAAAATACTGTCTTCCTCTTAGATTTATTGTGAAATTCTCATGAGAAAATGTAAATGGATAAAAAAACAATAAATTCAGCAGAATACAATACATTTGAAGACTTTGGAATAAGATGAACCTAGATTAAGGTTGCCCAATTTAGCAAATAAAAATACAGGATACCCAGTTAAATTTGAATGTCAGATAAACAACAATGTTTAAAAATGTCTCTTAATTATTGCATGTCCCTCACTAGGAGTGTGACCTTAGGCAATTTCTGTAAATCTCAATTTCCCTATCTCTAATAGAGCCACCACTTGGATCTTACAGAGTTGTGAAGATAAGTCAGCAGTGTAAAGTACTTAGCACTCAGTCTGCCACAGAATAGTTGATCAGTAGACTGTTAATTTTGAACACTTCAAGTATCAGATCCCTAAATCATGTGAAGTTATCTTTCCAAAATTACTTGTAGCCATTCAGTAGCTAACAAGAAGTCCATGATTATGGCAGAGTTAAAGATCTAGCCGCTGAATTCTAAAATCAAGGTATTTCAGAACTAAATAAATATTTGATGTTATCTTATCCAGTGGATATCTTTCTTATGAATAAGAAAGAGGTAGAAAATCAGATAAGCCTAGAGCCACTGATAGTATATAAATCTCTTAAATATTCATCAATATTTTTTTCTAATGTAGCAACCTATCTTACAGGAGATGTTGCTGAAAGATAGTTCATCTCTCTAGTTTTGCCTGTCTCTATTATCTATGTCATCAGCTAGGCACCTTTAGCAGTTTCAAGTTTCTTTTTGTAACATGAATAATGTTTTGTTCTATCTTGTGGATACAGCATGTGGTACCTTATCTAACTACATTTGAGTTAATAAACAGTAGTATTTTTAAATCATTGCTAATAGAATATTCTTTCCAAGCATGAGTCTTAGTCACCAATCACCATCATCTATATGTGAAAATATGACGAACTTTGTACACTTGCTCAGCAAGCTTTTTAAGTACATCTGACTTCTCACCCTAGTAGCAGGAAATAACTTACCTCGGAGCACTGACTTCATCTCTAGTTTATTTTTATCCAAAACAAATATTAAGACCTTTTCCAGTCGATAATGAGCGGGTCAGTTTTGCTGACACTGAACTCTTCAATAGGCACTTTGCAAAGTGAGGCTCATTTGCATTCAACTACACATCATTCTGCAAGGTGTAATTCATATTTCTCATCATGAGTATAATTTTCCATTAACTTTGTTGCAACATAGAACATAAGTACTGATATTATTTTAACTCTAAACTATTAATTTTCATATATGACATCATTTTAAAAGATCATTCCAAATTTCCATCTGGATGTTGTGAACTGCTCGTTTTATAGACATTAGATGTTATTATTTACTACCTGCAGAGTTCAAATAATTTACCTCACATAAGACAGACTTGGGTTTGTATTTTTAGTCCTGATACCTACAAAATGTATTCTATTAGGTCAGTTACTTAAGTACTCTGAATTTCAGTTTTCTCATTTTGAAGACAAACACACAAATAGTACTTACAGCATAGGAATTTTGTGAGGATTAAATGAAATTGTATGGAAAGCACTTGGCCTAGGGACTCATAGCAAGTATAAAGAAAGTCTATGTTTTCTTTCAATTACCATCATTATACTTTTAATTTTTCTATTGTTTTCTTGATTATTCCATTGCTACTTCTAATAATTTATATATTAAAGAAGATTATTTCATGGAAATACATATGAATCTTAGAAACAGACAGGTAACTTTGGCAATGAAATCAGGTAACAGACTTCTGTTAGCAGAGGAGAGTTCATGGAGGAAAAGGGGCCATGAAATTCAATGTTATGATCATCCCTAATAACTATGTCATTTTTATTAATGCTTTCATGGAATAATTCCTGATAGTTGATTACATGGTGTGTCTCAGTTTATATATGATTGAGAAATAAAAAGTGGTGGCTGACCTAGGTGTGATGATACTTTTTAAAAACATTTTTTAATTTTTGTGAATACATAGTAGCTGTATATATTTTTCGGGTACATCAGATGTTTTTTGATACAGGCATGCAACGTGAAATAATCACTTCATGGAGAATGGGGTATCCATCCCCTCAAACATGTACCCCTTGTGTTACAGTCTAATTACACTGTTTTAATTATTTAAATTGTACAATTAAGTAAAGGTGTGATGATACTTGGTTTAGTTCCAGAATCCACAGTTCTACTGGCTGTTGAGAATCACGGTCAGCAAATCAAGATGGTGTATAAAATAACAAGTGACCAGCAAGAAGACATTATATAGCAAACACAGAAACTGCTATATAAAGATTTCTGAATGTGTTTCAGTTTTGGAAGACATCTATATGAAGTTCAGAGAAGGTACTTGTCTTGGGAATAGAATTAGTTGGGTTGCTTTCCAGCACATGAATCCAGAAGAAATTTGCTTTAAAGGTCATGAAACCTGATACTAAATACTCTAAATAGAAAAAAAAACATTGTCATGATGAAAGAAGGTTAGACTCAATGCTTTATCAACTATTCAGTAGATAACATCTGAGAAAAAACTACAGAAAGAACTGTCTTCCATTTTCTTCTATTTTTTATTCATTATAATGTACAGTGTATGGTTTTGCAATCAATAAGATAAAAACAAAGTTGCTTGTAAAAATTGGTATAAACATACCTGCAGTTCATAAAAGAGACTTAATTGTTATTGCTACTATCATTATTTATAATTATAAACTCATTGGAGTATGGTCACCACTGACACCAGACTGTGAGTTTAAACCTTGTGCCACCACTTACTAGCTGTGGGACTTGGGCTGTATCTCAGTTTCATCATCTGTAATACGGGTTCTTGCTGAGTGGATTCAGTGAGTTAATACTTATAACATAGAACAGAAGAAACTAAGTATGCTGCAATTACTAAATGTTAACTATTAAAGCATTGAGTAAAATGCATGCTATTCCTTATATTGCAATTTTTAAACTCATGCCAGAATATGATATGTATTATATATTTTATAATTCCCCAAATATGTTATTTATTCATAAGACTAGAGAGACGAACATAGCAGACAGATGCCCAGAATGTGTTGGTTGTAAGAATAAAGAGTCATCATAATGGTCATAATTTAAATCATATCTAGTAAGAAAAAAATATTTTCTTATATAATGTGCTTCTTCCATATACTTCTATTAATGTTGAAACAATCCACTTTTTGAAGATTTGTGAGTTTTTTAAAAAATAAACCTTTTCCTATTTGCTGAGTAAGTCCCAGGGACTGGAAGTAATTTTTAAATACTGCATATGACTGTCAAATTTTGAGTTATGATCATCGTGATATCAATGTTTCATTCTGATGACTGTGGCGGGGAAGGCACTGTGAAGGTGGATAACAGAAACAAAAATTTTTGAAAAGCATAGTCTATGCTGTGATGTTCAAATAACTCCAGGTATCATTGGAATTTATTTGAGTTCAAATTTACTCCAAAAATTAGTATACATTTTTCAAAAGTCATACAAATAGCCTATTTACACACAGCAATCTATCTGATGGAAATCGTACTAAAAATTTGCCAAGAAAGACATGCCATTACTTGCCATTTGCAGCTTAATTTGCAAATGAAGAATAGTATGCATTCAAAAAATTGGTGCTTCTTCTCTGTTACCCCACTGTTGCATATAATAATAATTATTATCATAGCAACATATATTGGGCATTTACCATGTGCTAGGTACCTTACTAAATCTTACATGCTGTCTCATTTAAACACCCAATAATGCTATCAATTAGTCACTCTTGTTATTTTCTCTTACTATTCTTAGGAAACTATGGCCTAAAGAAGTTACCTGACATGGTAACCAAACTAATTTGTGGCAGTCCAAGATTGAACCCAGGTCTCTGTTCTTCAGTCTCTATTTATCCCAGAATCAGTATGATGGAGCATGAGAGCTGGTCCAGTGCTCAGGGATCATCTAATCTCAATACATCTTCTTGATTTTACTCTATTACATTCTATATTCATAAGAAATATGTTTAAAGTTATTTGATCCATTGACATTGTAAATACAATATCAACTAGGAAATAAGCTTACTACTTAAAAATATAGTGGAAAAGGGCCTGTTTTCGCTTCAACATTTGAACATGAAGTGTAATCTAATAGTTCTCAGTGTTTGGGTTGCTCTACTCTGACCATATACAATTAAGTGATTTATGGAATAGACATTAAATGATATTGAAGGTGAACAAGTTACTCCCTTTTCAATTCTTGCTCAACCAAAATTAGCCACAGCATTAGTCTGGTCGTCATTGCTCTAACTCTCTTGACCATAAGGTAATTTTTATTTTTTAGAGTGGTCCTCACAATTCACAATCCTCAGCATCAGGTTATCAACAGTGTATAGATAGAATTAAATACTATCATTTTGCTTAATTTATTGTCAGTGTATTTTCTATCAATTTAAAAGCATATACTTTCATTTATGGGAGGGATACATTTAAAATTTGTTTATGTAAATAAAGTAATAGCAGTATAAGTTTCATTTGGGTGTAACAGTATTGCAATAGAAGTAAAATAATGGCTGATGTTTGGAAAGCACCGTAATTCAAGTAATTGTTGAGAATCACACAGCTTTGAGTTTAAATTCTGCCACTCAGTCCAGCCGCCTCCCCTACTGCATACCCTACCCTGCCAGTGTGTCCTACTGTCTAAACCTCAGAAAAATAATTAATCTCTTAGCATTTTCTTTTTTTATTTTATTATTATTATACTTTAAGTTTTAGGGTACATGTGCACAATGTGCAGGTTAGTTACATATGTATACATGTGCCATGCTGGTGTGCTGCACCCATTAACTCATCATTTAGCATTAGGTATTATCTCCTAATGCTATCCCGCCCCCCTCCCCCCACCCCACAACAGTCCCCAGAGTGTGATGTTCCCTTTCCTGTGTCCATGTGTTCTCATTGTTCAATTCCCATCTATGAGTGAGAACATGCGGTGTTTCGTTTTTTGTCCTTGTGATAGTTTGCTGAGAATGATGGTTTCCAGCTTCATCCATGTGCCTACAAAGGACATGAACTCACCATTTTTTATGGCTGCATAGTATTCCATGGTGTATATGTGCCACATTTTCTTAATCCAGTCTATCATTGTTGGACATTTGGGTTGGTTCCAAGTCTTCGCTATTGTGAATAGTGCCGCAATAAACATACGTGTGCATGTGTCTTTACGGCAGCATGATTTACAGTCCTTTGGGTATATACCCAGTAATGGGATTTGACTCTCTTAGCATTTTCAACTGAAAATATGAGATACAGGATATGAGAATACAAATGTTACAGAATTATTTTCTTGTTAGATGTCTCTCTCTCTATTACACCTAGTGCGTAGCTCAGGGATAGGTATCTTGTAGTAATCATCCATAGGGTGAGGTAGTAATGTTATTCTTTTCCAGGTTTTTATTCCGTTTCTCAGTTCCATGCCTCATATTGGTTATCACTGTATCAAAAATTGAATATCACATTAAGTGAACTGACAAAAAGCTGAATTTTCTAGAATTTAACAATCTCTACCTCTGAGTATATTTAGTCTCTTTATGTTATATGAATAGTACTTATAACAATAACGGTTATTGGAGTATCAAAATTGCTCATGCAATGAAGTAGTTACATAAAATATTTAAATTATTTAATTAAGTCATCTTTTTCAAAAATCACAAGTCATGCAAATCCTGAGTGGTTATATATAACCAGAATTGTGAGACGAATAAGAACGTGACCACACAGCTTTGTCATCAAGAAAAATAAGGGTCAGGAAATTAAATTTCCTTACAGATACCTCTAAACAGTTTTTCTGGGATTTACCGGAAAAAAAATGGGTGATGGACCATGATTTTATGTTCTTAATAACAGGAAGTGGCAGAGCAACTTTTCTTATGCGCTTCTAATGGGATTAAATCTGCTTGCATGGGAATAAATGTTTGAATTCCATGGAGACTCTAAAATTCATACTAAGATTTTTCCTGTTACAGGGCCTTTGCACATGATGATTTTACTGACTGCAGCATGCCAACCCACCATGGTTGGCTTTTTCTTTTCCTTTACATTATGGCTTCTTATTGTGCTTACAAATCATCTGACATCTAGAGACCTTGTTCAAAAGCAGACACAGATTCAGAAAGTTTTGAGTAAGTCCTGAGATTCTTTATTTCAAATAAGCTCCTAAGTAATGATGATGCTTTCAACCCCAGGCCATTTGTTGAAAATAGATGTTTTATTATCTCCTTAAAAAAAAAACCTTCCATGATCTTGTCATTTAAAGTAGTTTTCTCCCTGTTATTCCTATTCCAGTACTTTCTTTATTTATTTAATAACCTTTATATCACAACTTTATTTTATTTGCTTGCTTTTTGCTTGTCTGTTGTTTCTAGATTGTAAACCGCTCAAGGTCAGGGACTAGGTTATGTTGCTCACAATATGTCTAGGGCCTGACACCTAGTAGAAGCTCAATAAATAGATAAGCAAATAAATAAAAAAAAACTACCTCTAGATTACACCAGTGTGTCATAGTTTTACCTAGATCAATGGTTCTAAAATTTTAGAATACATCAGAATCCCCCAAAAGGGCTTGTTAAAATGAAGATTGCTGGAATACCCAATGCAAAGGTTCTGATTTAGTAGTTCTGGGGTCTAAGTTCCAAGGTCATGCTGATGCTGCTTATCCAGAAAACACACTTTGAAAATAACTGACCTGTAACACAAGATACAGTTTACTAATCACCAGTCTCAAAAGATTATGCTGAAAAGCTGATGCCAGTCCTGAAGAAATACTTGATTTAATTTCTCTACTTATTTGGTACTTAGGATTCAGTTTTCAGTATTAACCTAACAATTGTGAGTATATAGATAATTACTGTTCATTTTATTTTGCATACATACATACATATATATATATATATATATATATATATATATATATATATATATCCTTGAGGAAAGGAGAGGGAAGATTTGATGCCCATTCCTGCATCAGATCTTATGAATTGCAGTCACACCAGGTTTCTTTTTAAGTCCCAAGTAATGTCACTCAGTCACTGCTTTTTGACATTTTGCAAGCATCAAGGCTAGCCCTTGGGATCATTCACTTTGTTTGATTTCCTTCACAATAGCTCAGAGCCCAATAGAACTTCTCTTTCTTTTCTTTTTCTTTTTCTTTTAGCATTCAAAACCTCACCTTCTTGCTCAGATTGTATTCTCTTTTCTTTTCTGTTTGCAATGATGAAGCATCACAGGAAAATGGAAGCAAATGAATAATTGCTGCATAAGCTTTCTAGAGCATGGAAAAACATTGAAGTCATTATTGTAAAGTATGCTGTGAATTTTAAGAGGGTCTATGTGATATCTCATTCTTCCTCTAATTATCTCCAGCAAATAGTAACATGGGTAATGAGAATTAGAATTTTGGCCACAGGCAGATATTAATGTGAAATAGCATTTTCATTTAAATATTGATTAATAAAGAGGTATATTAAAGGGAAATTAAGCATGTATTCAGTGTAAAAAAGTTAATATCAGCAAGCCTTTTTAAAGATGTGTATTTTAATAGGTTTTGAATTAAGCTTGATTTAAAGGCTGTCAGAAATGTCTCTCTGCATGAAGATAATTTTAATAAATTCAAAAATATGTCATTTTTTCACAATAATCCAAGAACCATATGAAATAACTTTATTTTTATTTGAAATGACTAATCCTTATAATTACATTTTAATTTTCCACTGCGTTTTTTTTCTTGAAAGTCTTCCTCCACATCAATATCTAATAAAATTGTGATGAAAATTATTGCTTAAATTATACACAAAAGGGTTGAAAATCATCAAAATTTGAAAGAAAATATTTTATGCTTCCAACTCAGTTCTCTAACCTGTATTTTATTGTCTCTCTAAGTTCTCACATTATTCTCATGTAATTTCCTAAGCCAATATCTGATTAATTCTGTGATGCCTGAGAATTTAATATTTTCTCTAGTTTTTAAAACCAGATTGGGATTAGGACTTCATAATATATGGTGTTAATTTGAGGTAATAAAACAGAAACATACTTGGCATTTAATTTTTTTTATCTTTTTGGAAAATTTCCATTGCTCTACATCAACCAGTGATATGAGAGAAAATGTGATATGGAAGTCATAAGGTCTGCCATTTTATTACAGGTTTATTTGAGCTAATTACAGCGTAAATGCCATATTGGTTTTCAGCAATTCATTTGCTGGACAGTTCTTCAAGCAGCCAGGAGAAAGCTGCTAGAGACTGTTTCAGCAATGCAGAGACTCCTTAATTAAGCTCTGGCTGATGTTCCAGAACCTCTCTTCAGAGCCTGGGGAAATAACAGTACTGTATTTATTTAGAAGGTACCTCTTGCCCTAAGGCTTTCAGGTCATCGTAATACAATCTGTATGCCAGTCTGTCCTAAATAGAAAAAACAAGCATTTTGTTTAAATTTATAGCAAGTGCCTGTACTTTTCTGCAAATGTGAATTTCATTGATTAAAACATTTCAGATTCCAATCTATCTTTGGTCCTCATCAAAACAGTCCTATCTATAAGGAAGTAGTAAGGAAAAAAATAGGAGTCTTTCTGTTCCTGATTAATCTTCAACCAAGCTTCCTTTATATGACTACATAGTTACAAATCTGATTAGGTAAATTAGAAATTCCCTCGAGAGAATTTAATATTTTCTCTAGTTTTTAAAACCAGGAAAGATTATACTTATTTGCATATTTAACTATTTATATGTAATTATGTTTTCTCTCCCATCTTACCCACCAAACTTATTCCAGGAATATTGAAAGTGGCTTATAAAAGAATATACAGTAGAGAAGGAATGAAAAAAATTAAAACAAGACCAAAAGATGAGGCAAAGATAAAGATATGGAAATAACATAAAGCCAGAGGGTAAAATATAGGCCTTACAACCTCACACACAACTTTATCAAAGAGTATACAGAGATGGCAAATGAGCAAATGAAAAGATATTCAACATCATTGGCCATTAGGGGAATGAAAATTATGACCACCTTTTTGCACTAATAAAGAATGGCTAAAATAGTAGGTACTTGAGAAAATGTAAAACAATTGGCATTTTCATACACTGCTGTTGGGAATGCAAAATGCCACTAAAAAACAGTTTGGTACTTTATTACATAGATAAAAATACAATTACCTTATGAACCAGCAACTTCTCTGGGTGTTTACCTTACAGAAGTGAAGTTATATTCACGCAAAACATACATTTATAGCAACTCTGCTCATAATTGCCAACAACTGGAACAAAACCCCCAAAATCCTTCAATGGGTAAATGGGTAAATTGTAGTATATCTATACAATGGGATACTTCTCAAAAATAAAAAGGAGTAAACTATTGATACATGAAAAAATATGCATGTAAATCAAAGGCATTATGCTGAGTGAAAGTAGCTAGTCCTTTAGGGCTACATACTGTATGGTTTTATTTATAAAATATTCTGGAAAAAATGGTATTGATGAAGAACAGATTAACAGAACAGAGGATGGGGTGGAGGAAGAGCATGACTACAAAGTGGTGGGATAGAGCATGAGGGAGTTTTCTGGGTGACAGAACTGTTCTGTATCTTGGTTGTGGTGATACTTTCATAAATATGTATATTTAATGCAAATAATTATACACTGAAAAAGTCAACTTTATTGAATGATAATTTAATAAATAAGGTAATTTAAAAAAGCCCCCACACATTTGCAAGAATTAAAACCACAAGTTTGCATCCGAGTTCTGTCCATAGGCCAAAGAATATAACAGTACTCAGATAAAATCAAGCTAGCTACTCAGGGTCATATCTATTCCTAATAGAATAATATAATACATATGTCTAATATAATAAAAACATCTTTTTAATAACCTGAAGTATATATCAGTAATAAATCACAATTGTATTGTACCTCCTGCATGTATGACCACTTCTTTTTGTCTTTTTCATGCCTCTGTTCCTTTATCTGCTTTTAAAGTATAGATATTCTCTAGGTTATGTCTTTCATCCTAATTTATTCTAGCTCAGAAACATCTCCCTGAAAAATTGTTTTCAGTCCAATGGCTTAACCTAAAATCTCCTTGCTGAAGATGACTTCCAAATTTGTACCTGAAGTCCTAATATCTTATTATCTCTCTTTACAGTTCTGTGTGTGATATACCCTCTTAGATACCACAGTAATCCAAAAAATCCCCATACCCTAAACAATTTAATTAGTAGTCTTTCTTCTAAAATCTAAGATTCTTCTGAAATCACTGACCTCTTGATCATTAAAGCTAGAAGCATCATCATATTTCACCAACTCCTTATACTCACCCTCTCTCATAAAATTAGTTACTATATACAGTTGATACTTTCAATTTTGCATTTTTCCCATCACAAAAACTTAAAGCCTTAGTCATATGTACTTTGGAATATTACAGCAACTTTCCTTATGGTCCTTTGTCTCCTAACTGTTATGTCTAAATTTCATTTCTATACTCTTGTTAGCATTACTTTATAAAATCAGATAGATTCTTCCTAGGTTGCCTGAAAATCTTTTATTCTCACAGAAATGAAAAATCCAAACTTCATATGGTATTTAATATCTTCAATAATCTTGTGACATTATCTAGCACTGAGTACATCCTCATCACTACCTACCAATGTCTCATACACCTGGACTGTAGCCTCTTCATATGTTTTGCTGTTACTTGTAGCTGTCGTATTCCTGGCCAAATACCTCAATTTATATGGGTGATATCGTGTATATGTGATACCTCGCTCTCCTCTCCTTCCCCCTCCTCTCCTCTCGTCTCCTCTCCTCTCCTCTCGTCTCCTCTCCTCTCTGTTCTCCCTGTTAAAATTCTACGTACTTCACATCTCTACTCTTACACCATATCTTTTATATAGACTCCCTTAGTTCAGGAATTTGGAATTCGTTTTACCTTCCTTTGAGCATTCACAGAATGATTTTATACATCCACTTATGGCATTAATTTCTTTATTTTTATTTGTTTTATTATGCATGCCTATCATCTTCCCCACTGGGATTATAACCTTCTTAAACAATGCAATCATATATTAATACACTTCCTTGCCTTAAATCCTTTTTGGGAAAAGCTACAGCACAAGTACATATATAAATAAATAATCTTCATTTTCTTGTTAGATATGGAACAATGCCCCTCACTTATAAGATATACAATGAATGTTTACCCTATGAATAAATGGATGAATAAACAGCAGACAGGTTAAGCAGGCTAGGGAGTGTTGGAAATGTTACCCTGTATATTACAATTATAGGAAGATTATCATTAACAATAATGTGTTATTACAAATACCATTCTGCATGATCAGTTAATGTCAACATTTATTTATTGTGCAGTTGCACATATCTCCAAAGGCCAAATTATATTTTTACCCTATCATTCACCTGCTCAGAAATTCAATGTCTGCCTGCGTGTGCTTCAGATCAAATTTAAAGTTTCCTTTTTTTGCATGGATGACATTTTTATTAGCTGTGCTCTTTAGTATGCCAACACGTATCTGAATATATGAATACTGTATTTCTCAGTATTTTCTATGATCCTCCCTCCCTCTTTTCTTATTTATTTATTTATTTAGAGTCGGAGTCTTGCTCTGTATCCCAGGCTGGAGTGAAGTGGCACAATCTCGGCTCACTACAACCTCCATCTCCCGGGTTCAGGCAACTTTCTGCCTCACACTCCTGAGTAGCTGGGATTACAGGCGCCTGTCACCATGCCTGGCTATTTTTTCTTTTTTTTTTTTGTATTTTTAGTAGACACAGGGTTTCACCATCTTGGCCAGGCTGGTCTTGAGCTCCTGACCTTGTGATCCAGCCGCCTCAGCCTCCCAAAGTGCTGGGATTACAGACGTAGAGCCACCGTGCCCGGCCTCTTTCTTCTTTATTCTTCCTTTCTCCACTACTCTCAGTAAGACTCATGCTCGGCTTTACTCAGTCTTCACATGACACCTGCAATAATGCCCTTTGCCTCCCCTTCATCCATGCTTTCTCCAAAATAGAAAAGCCTTTCATAATCATCACACAGCAGAAGTGAGCTACACTACATTTGCTACTCTGCTTCTTATTTCTTTAGTTGTGATTCATTTTTAGAACGTCATGCTGCCATTCATGTTCTTTAGTGGGTTGTTTCAACCATACTTGTCATATGCTACTCGAGGTTACCGAGTAGTTTTATTTTTTTTAGTAGCCCTCATTGTTCCTAGCAAGAGTCGTCATGGGCAATTTTCTTAATCAATTGACCACTGAAAATATTAACAAGAACTGATTGAGAAGAAAAATAGACTGGTTGCGTAAAGACAAAAGTTTACTTAGCAATATTTGGTAGTGATTTTTTTTTAACTAAAATTGTGTACAGTAAACTCAGAAAGAATGGAGTCAATTTTCATTAGTGTTTATCTCTGGATATAAGATTTAGAGAACTTTGATATTCTTTGTACATTTCTATATTTCAACAGTTATTTTTAAACGTACTATTTTTATCGAAATAAGTAAACTAAATGTAGTTAATTTTAATATTTTGTGCTGAAGTATGACTGTCAACATTTTACAAAAATCCTAGTGAATCGTAAATTTCCAAAGACAAACCACATATGTTTTGCCTTCCAGGAGATATTCTAGGTTATTAATAAATACATAGAGACAGTTATATATGACAGCTCCGTCAAAGATATTTTACTTTATACTTGATCCTGCTCAAGGACATTATTATTCACTATGAAACAATAGAGGGCAGTAGAATAATGGTTCATAAGACTTATTTAGACAAAACTAACCAAATCCCTCATTCTAACCATTAGAAAAATTATCAAAATAGTTCTAACGCATTTATAAAAGTAAAAAAAAAAAAGTTAGTGTCGTGATTTTTGCTTTTTATTTGCCAAAAATAAGGTTTACCCTGAGTGTGGAAAAGGCAACTTAGAAGTGTTCAGAATCTGATGCTATTTATTTGACCGTGTGTTAACTTTCCTGGACTTTGAGCTTTCCATGAGAATGCTAATAAGTAATATTTATATTTTTCGTTGATCTATAATGTAGGGTTTATATATTCACAAACCAGTTTAGAGAGAAAGAAAACAATCAGTTTAATCTAGCTACTGAGTTCTTAATGGCCGTTAACAAAATAACACCTTAAATGACTGAAGTAAACTGTTTTCAAATGTCTTTGTTCCTACCAGTTATGTAAAAATCAACTTATGGCAACCGAACATCCTCAGATGCAAGGTTGACAGAGTGCATCCCAGGGAAATTCTGATTAAAGAGGCTTCTACTGATGCCATGCAGAGCCGTACTGGAGCCTAAGGCAAAACTAAAACATCAGCACTATGATTTTTCAAAATGTTTATGTTTTGTTTGTCATAGATGTTTGACATTAATTTTGACTTTTAAAATATTTCATTAAAATATTGTTTATCTTAATTTCTGGTTTGCTTGTTATTTTGGTATCTCCTTATTCTGTCCCTGAGGTCAGGACCTTACTACCTATTTTCACCCTAATGCCAGTCCTGGTAGCTACTCAAACCAATACCCTGTTGAGTCACAGCAACATAAGAAAAAATTGCACTGGGGAGAATGACAGAAAAGGAAATAAAAATGTAGAGTTAATACTCAGAAAGATGATCATTAGTAGAGTGCCCTGATATGCAGAATTCATAGTGTGATACATAATGAAATATATTTCAATAAATCATGCTTCAAGCCTCCTTGGAATGCAGCTCTCTTTCCTTCAAGAACAAGAATGAACCTTGATTATATATGTGTCGATGTCTATATTATAAAATGCCTTTGTTTAAATTCTTATTTCAGAGAGAAAAGCAAACTAAAGCAAACCACGTTGAATCTAAACATTATCTTCAATTCATATTTTCTTTCAGTAACCCACTTTCCTCCTCAGAGCCTGGATTACCATGTCAGATCATGTCTGTCCTAAGAAAAATAATGTTAGTGCCAATAATACTGTAGCTTCTGGAAAAACTCTACCTGCCTTAATCTCAAGGAACCTGGTGCTGTGCCATCTGACTTCCCATAAGTCTTATAAATAGAGAAAAATAATAGAGAGATGGATGAATGGATGAATGGATGGATGGATAGACAGACAGGCAGGCACATAGATAGATAGAGATAGATAGATAGGCAGACAGACAGACAGATGATAGATAGATAAATAGATAGATAGATAGATAGATAGATAGACAGATAGATAGATAGACAGACGTTGGCTTAAATGACCCAGCCAGGGACAACAAGGGAGTGAATTCTAGCCAATGTCGTGTTTCTAGTCTTGAGCTTAATAGAATTTCCTTAGGCATCCATTTAGGAGTTCAAATTGTGTACCTTAGAAAAATTGTGTAGCAATGAACAAAGAGAAAAAGAATTCTGTCCTCAAATGAGTTGTGCCATTGCTATGTCCCCCACATTGGATAATTATATTAAAGACTCAGAAAAGTCTTGAAGACTTTCCCTGAATGATGAAGCCAGCATTTCTCAAACCTACTTAACAGTGGAAGAAATTTTTTTAAAAATATAACCCTAAAAAATGTTTCACAGAGTTAGTACTCTGCAGAATGCAATTTAGGAAATGTTGACCTATATTTAGAATATAGCAGCTTCAATTATATCTTGGTGTGGGTCTGGGGGATGGTTCTTAATAATATTAAGAATAGGACTGATAACCATACTAACTAACATTTGAATTGAAATTTTTTGTTGGCTGAGTTGGGCCCTTTCAGAAACATGCAACTTTACTAGCTTCCTCTCTACTTCCCTCATGCTATATTCTTCCTTTGTCAAAGTATTAACATTATAGAAAATTAACACACCACAAGTTACAAAATATTTGGCTTATACACCAAAATATGAATATGCATAGAATTAATGATGGATGCTTGAACATACGTGGGCATTTCAAAGCTAATAGGAATAGCCTTTTTCGTGACCTAAATTTGTATCACACCATACCACTCTCTTAGTTCTGAACATTTATATCTTCATGTCATGGTTGTTCTGCATCTCTTGTCTTTCCCAGTAAATTAATAGTTCCACGAAAGCAAGAAGTTCCTATTTCAAATGCTTTGGATCATTACTGCTATATTCCCTGTGACTGTCTTTAATACCAGATACAGGTAGGGCTGTAGAATGTACTTAGTGAGTAAACACATTTCTGGAACTTTGTTTTCTACAATTTCAGACATTTTGCTATCCTTTAGATGATAATGCACTTATTTGTGAGACATTCTATTATATTTTTCAAATAGAACCTGTGATTCAAAAGGATGATTCAACAGATCTAAAAGTTAGTTTTACATTTAGTAAGAGGATTTGTGTAGGAAGAGATTTACTTCCATTGCATTCCCATGCCCTAGAAAGAGACTGCCTTTAACATTAAAACCTGGGGTAGAGCCAAGATTGCCAAATAGGAGCAGCTCCAGTTTACAGCTCCCAGCATGAGCAACGCAGAAGACGAGTGATTTCTGCATTTCCGACTGAGGTACCGGGTTTATCTCACTGGGAAGTGCTGGACAGTGGGTGCAGGACAGTGGGTGCAGCGCACCATGTGTGAGCCGAAGCAGGGCGAGGCATCACCTCCCCCAGGAAGTGCAAGGGGTCAGGGAATTCCCTTTCCTAGTCAAAGAAAGGGGTGACAGATGGCACCTGGAGAATTGGGTCACTCCCACCCTAATACTGCACTTTTCCAATGGGCTTATCAAATGGCACACCAGGAGATTATATCATGCACCTGGCTCAGAGGGTCGTACGCCCACAGAGCCTTCCTCATTGCTAGCACAGCAGTCTGAGATCAAACTGCAAGGTGGCAGCCAGGCTGGGGGAGGGGCGCCTGCCATTGCTTAGGCTTGAGTAGGTAAACAAAGCGGCCAGGAAGCTCGAACTGGGTGGAGCCCACCACAGCTCAAGGAGGCCTGCCAGCCTCTGTAGGCTCCACCTCTGGGGGCAGGGCACAGACAAACAAAAGACAGCAATAACCTCTGCAGACTTAAATGTCCCTGTCTGACAGCATTGAAGAGAGTAGTGGTTCTCCCAGCATGCAGCTTGAGATCTGAGAATGGCCAGACTGCCTCCTCAAGTGGGTCCCTGACCCCCGAGTAACCTAACTGGGAGGCACCCCCCAGTAGGGGCAGACTGACACCTCACACGGCTGGGTACTCCTCTGAGACAAAACTTCCAGAGGAACGATCAGGCAGCAGCATTTGCGGTTCAGCAATATCTGCTGTTCTGCAGCCACCGCTGCTGATACCCAGGCAAACAGGCTCTGGAGTGGACCTCGAGTAAACTCCAACAGACCTGCAGCTGAGGGTCCTGACTGTTAGAAGGAAAACTAACAAACAGAAAGGACATCCACACCAAAAACCCATCTGTAAGTCACCATCATCAAAGACCAAAGGTAGATAAAACCACAAACATGGGGAAAAAACAAAGCAGAAAAACCGGAAACTCTAAAAATCAGAGCACCTCTCCTCCTGCAAAGGAATGCAGCTCCTCACCAGCAACGGAACAAAGCTGGACGGAGAATGACTTCAAAAAGTTGAGAGAGGAAGGCTTCAGAAGATCAAACTACTCCGAGCTGAAGGAGGAAGTTCGAACCAATGGCAAAGAAGTTAAAAAGTTTGAAAAAAATTAGACGAATAGATAACTAGAATAACCAATGCAAAGAAGTCCTTAAAGGACCTGATGGAGCTGAAAACCACAGCATGAGAACTACGTGATGAATGCACAAGTCTCAGTAACAGATGTTATGAACTGGAAGAAAGGGTATCAGCGATGGAAGACGAAATGAAAGAAATGAAGTGTGAAGAGAAGTTTAGAGAAAAAAGAATAAAAAGAAACGAACAAAGCCTCCAAGAAATATGGGACTATGTAAAAAGACCAAATCTACGTCTAATTGGTGTACCTGAAAGTGATGGAGATAATGGAAGCAACTTGGAAAACACTCTGCAGGATATTATCCAGGAGAACTTCCCCAATCTAGCAAGGCAGGCCAACATTCAAATTCAGGAAATACAGACAATGCCACAAAGATACTCCTCGAGAAAAGCAACTCCAAGACACATACTTGTCAGATTCACCAAAGTTGAAATGAAGGAAAAAATGTTAAGGGCAGCCAGAGAGAAAGGTCGGGTTACCCACAAAGGGAAGCCCATCAGACTAACAGCGGATCTCTTGGCAGAAACTCTACAAGCCAGAAGAGAGTGGGGGCCAATATTCAACATTCTTAAAGAAATGAATTTTTCAACCCAGAATTTCATATCCAGCCAAACTAAGCTTCATAAGTGAAGGAGAAATAAAATACTTTACAGACAAGCAAATGCTGAGAGATTTTGTCACCACCAGGCCTGCCCTAAAAGAGCTCCTGAAGGAAGCACTAAACATGGAAAGGAACAGCTGGTACCAGCCACTGCAAAAACATGCCAAATTGTAAAGACCATCAAGAATAGGAAGAAACTGCATCAACTAACGTACAAAATAACCAGCTAACATCATAATGACAGGATCAAATTCACACATAACAATATTAACTTTAAATGTAAATGGACTAAATGCTCCAATTAAAAGACACAGCCTGGCAAATTGGATAAAGAGTCAAGACCCATCAGTGTGCTGTATTCAGGAAACCCATCTTACATGCAGAGACACACATAGGCTCAAAATAAAGGGATGGAGGCAGATCTACCAAGTAAATGGAAAACAAAAAAGGCAGGGGTTGCAATCCTAGTCTCTGATTAAACAGACTTAAAACCAACAAAGATCAAAAGAGACAAAGAAGGCCATTACATAATGGTAAAGGGATCAATTCAACAAGAAGAGCTAACTATCCTAAATATGTATGCACCCAATACAGGAGCACCCAGATTCATAAAGCAAGTCCTTGGTGACCTACAAAGTGTCTTACACTCCCACACAATAATAATGGGAGACTTTAACACCCCACTGTCAATATTAGACAGAACAACGAGACCGAATGTTAAGAAGGATATACAGGAATTGAACTCAGCTCTGCACCAAGTGGACCTAATAGACATCTACAGAACTCTGCACCCCAAATCAACAGAATATACATTCTTTTCAGCACCACACCACACCTATTCCAAAATTGACCACATAGTTGGAAGTAAAGCACTCCTCAGCAAATGTAAAAGAACAGAAATTATAACAAACTGTCTCTCAGACCACAGTGCAATCAAACTAGAACTGAGGATTAGGACACTCACTTAAAACTGCTCAACTACATGGAAACTGAACAACCTGCTCCTGAATGACTACTGGGTACATAATGAAATGAAGGCAGAAATAAAGACGTTCTTTGAAACTAACAAGAACAAAGACACAACATACCAGAATCTCTGGGACACATTTAAAGCAGTGTGTAGAGGGAAATTTATAGCACTAAATGCCCACAAGAGAAAGCAGGAAAGATCTAAAATTGACACCCTAACATCACAATTAAAAGAACTAGAAAAGCAAGAGCAAACATATTCAAAAGCTAGCAGAAGGCAAGAAATAACTAAGATCAGAGCAGAACTGAAGGAAATAGAGACACAAAAAACCCTTCAAAAAATTAATGAATCCAGGAGCTGGTTTTTTGAAAAGATCAACAAAATTGATAGACCACTAACAAGACTAATAAAGAAGAAAAGAGAGAAGAATCAAATAGACTCAATAAAAAATGACAAAGGAGATATCACCACTGATCCCACAGAAATACAAACTACCATCAGAGAATACTATAAACACCTCTACGCAAATAAACTAGAAAATCTAGAAGAAATGGATAAATTCCTTGACACATACACCCTCCCAAGACTAAACCAGGAAGAAGTTGAATCCCTGAATAGACCAATAACAGGCTCTGAAATTGAGGCAATAATTAATAGCTTACCCACCAAAAAAAGTCCAGGACCAGATGGATTCACAGCTGAATTCTACCAGAGGTACAAGGAGGAGCTGGTACCATTCCTTCTGAAACTATTCCAATCAATAGAAAAAGAGGGAATCCTCCCTAACTCATTTTATGAGGCCAGCATCATCCTGATAACAAAGCCTGGCAGACACACAACAAAAAAGAATTTTAGACCAATATCCTTGATGAACATTGGTGCAAAAATCCTAAATAAAATACTGGCAAACCGAATCCAGCAACACATCAAAAAGCTTATCCACCATGATCAAGTGGGCTTCATCCCTGGGATGCAAGGCTGGTTCAACATACGAAAATCAATAAATGTAATCCAGCATATAAACATAACCAACGACAAAAATCACATGATTATCTCAATAGATGCAGAAAATGCCTTTGACAAAATTCAACAACGCTTCATGCTAAAAACTCTCAATAAATTAGGCATTGATGGGATGTATCTCAAAATAATAAGAGCTATCTATGACAAACCCACAGCCAGTATCATACTGAAAGGGCAAAAACTGGAAGCATTCCCTTTGAAAACTGGCACAAGACAGGGATGCCCTCTCTCACCACTCCTATTCAACATAGTGTTGGAAGTTCTGGCCAGGGCAATCAGGCAGGAGAAGGAAATAAAGGGCATTCAATTAGGAAAAGAGGAAGTCAAATTGTCCCTGTTTGCAGATGACATGATTGTATATCTAGAAAACCCCATTGTCTCAGCCCAAAATCTCCTTAAGCTGATAGGCAACTTCAGCAAAGTCTCAGGATACAAAATCAATGTACAAAAATCACAAGCATTCTTATACACCAATAACAGCCAAACAGAGAGCCAAATCATGACTGAACTCCCATTCACAATTGCTTCAAAGAGAATAAAATACCTAGGAATCCAACTTACAAGGGACGTGAAGGACCTCTTCAAGGAGAACTACAAACCACTGCTCAGTGAAATAAAAGAGGATACAAAGAAATGGAAGAACATTCCATGCTCATGGGTTGGAAGAATCAATATCATGAAAATGGCCATACTGCCCAAGGTGATTTATACATTCAATGCCATCCCCATCAAGCTACCAATGACTTTCTTCACAGAAGTGGAAAAAACTACTTTAAAGTTCATTTGCAACCAAAAAAGAGCCCGCATTGCCAAGTCATTCCTAAGCCAAAAGAACAAAGCTGGAGGCATCACGCCACCTGACTTCAAACTATACTACAAGGCTACAGTAACCAAAACAGCATGCTACTGGTACCAAAACAGAGATATAGACCAATGGAACAGAACAGAGCCCTCAGAAATTATGCAGCATATCTACAACTATCTGATCTTTGACAAACCTGACAAAAACAAGCAATGGGGAAAGGATTCCCTATTTAATAAATGGTGCTGGGAAAACTGGCTAGCCATATGTAGAAAGCTGAAACTGGATCCCTTCCTTACACCTTATACAAAAATTAATTCAAGATGGATTAAAGACTTAAATATTAGACCTAAAACCATAAAAACCCTAGAAGAAAACCTAGGCAGTATCATTCAGGACATAGGCATGGGCAAGGACTTCATGTCTAAAACACCAAAAGCAATGGCAACAAAAGCCATAATTGATGAATGGGATCTGATTAAACTAAAGAGCTTCTGCACAGCAAAAGAAACCACCATGAGAGTGAACAGGCAACCTACAGAATGGGAGAAAATTTTCGCAACCTACTCATCTGACATAGGGCTAATATCCAGAATCTACAATGAACTCAAACAAATTTACAAGAAAAAAACAAACAACCCCGTCAAAAAGTGGGCATAGGATATGAACAGACACTTCTCAAAAGAAGACATTTACGCAGCCAAAAAACACATGAAAAAATGCTCATCATCACTGGCCATCAGAGAAATGCAAATTAAAACCACAATGAGATACCATCTCACACCAGTTAGAATGGCAATCATTAAAAAGTCAGGAAACAACAGGTGCTGGAGAGGATGTGGAGAAACAGGAACACTTTTACACTGTTGGTGGGACTGTAAACTAGTTCAACCATTGTGGAAGTCAGTGTGGCAGTTCCTCAGGGGTCTAGAACTAGAAATACCATTTGACCCAGCCATCCCATTACTGGATATATACCCAAAGGATTGTAAATCATGCTGCTATAAAGACACATGCACATGTATGTTTATTGTGGCCCTATTCACAGTAGCAAAGACTTGGAACTAACCCAAATGTCCAACAATGATAGACTGGATTAAGAAAATGTGGCACATATACACCATGGAATACTATGCAGCCATAAAAAATGGTGAGTTTATGTCCTTTGTAGGGACATGGATGAAGCTGGAAACCATCATTCTCAGCAAACTATCGCAAGGACAAAAAACTGAACACTGCATGTTCTCACTCATAGGTGGGAATTGAACAATGAGAACACATGGACACAGGAAGGGGAACATCACACACTGGGGACTGTTGGGTGGGCGGGAGGGAGAGCATTAGGAGATATACCTAATGCTAAGTGACGAGTTAATAGGTGTAGCACACCAACATGGCACATGTATACGTATGTAACAAACCTGCACGTTCTGCACATGTACCCTAAAACTTAAAGTATAATAATAATAAAAAAGAACATTAAATCCTAAAGTTATGGTATACATTTTTTTCTTCTATTTTAGGATGTTACAGCATATCCAAACTTACAAATAAACAAGAAGATGATACTTAGGCTGTGACCGTGGTGGAACTATTATTTATTTATTTATTTATTATTATTTTTTGAGACAGAGTCTCACTCTGTTGCCAGGCTGGAGTGCAGTGGTGTGATCTGAGATCACTGCAACCTGTGCCTCCCTGGTTCAAGCAATTCTCCTGCCTCAGCCTCTCGAGTAGCTGGGACTACAGGTGCACGCCACCATGCTCAGCTAATTTTTGAATTTTTAATAGAGGTGGGGTTTCATCATGTTGGTCAGGATGGTCTTCATCTCTTGACCTCGTGATCCGCCCGGCTTGGCCTCCCTAAGTGCTGGGATTACCGGCGTGAGCCGCCACACCCATCCCAGAACCACTCTTTTATATGTCCCAGACATAAATGTTATTCTGTCTGATCAAGAAATATTAGGTCATACTGTTATCAGTTTGATATTTCTGTATGTTTATCAACTACTCAGTTGTATGATTGAAATGTGATGGTCAAGTTGATAGGACCTTCTAGTTGGGAGGGCCTTCTTGAAGTTTAATCTGTAGACATCATCTTTAAACTTGTGAAGGTGGACACAAAATTCTTGCTCATTCAGTGAAATAATGATTTTGAGACTCTATATCTACAACTTTGGTGGTTACTGAGGATTTCCTTCTTCAACTCATTATTGTTGTCACCTAGTTTCTATCATCTTTTAATGATATTCTCTCTTGACTTGAAAAAGCACAACCCTTAAAGGTTTTATATAATTTTTTTTCTGGCAAATGACTTCACCTCCTTTGAGGTTAGTGTGGTTGCAAGGGATAATTACACACACACATATACACATATATACGTGTGTGTGTATATATACTGTATATATACATATATATGTATACATATATACATCTATACATATATGTGTGTGTATATACACATACACAAACACACACATATATACGCACATATATACACACATATATGTATACACAAACACATATGTATATACACACATATACACAAACACACACACATATATACACACACACACACACATATGCACACATCAGCTCACAATTCCACTCATTGGTTGTTAATCTACTTTGAATGTTTATCTCTTGAAGAAAATTCTTAGAACAATTCAAGAGGCTATCCAATTCTGTTTTAATTTATAGATCATTAAATGTTGCTAGAAAGAAGCAAGAGAGTCATTATAAATATAAACTGCCTCATAACTATATTGACCCAACATCTAACAACATTGACCTACTTGCAGTGTATATTTAATTAAAATAACATTAGGCAGAACAAAATTAACTTTAGAGTGTAACTGAAGCAAATAGCTATAATAAATACAATTATCTATTACCTTGTTTCACATCATTGAAAGACTTTTATCAATATGTCTTCTGGAAGATAATTGCCTATTAATATTTGGGTGTAAAATATTTCCTCATGAGCATTTAATGTTTACTTACCGTCAGGATAACAGGGTTTTTCCAGTCTGAATGTTTGTAGTATTATTTACAAAGGAGACAGTTTAATGACTAAATAATTCTTCATAATACATGAAAGAAAAAGAACCACTTGAGATTTAAATTAAAACCCTTAAATTTTAAAAAAATGGCATAAAAAGTTGTTTCCAAACTTTCTAATGAAGGAGAATGAAAAATAAGCATAATCAGCATAGAAAATTTAGGTGGGGCTGGGTGCATTGGCTCACACCTGTAATCCCAGCACTTTGGGAGGTTAAGGTGGGAGGATCACTTGACGTCAGGAGTTCAAGACCAGCCTGGCCAACATGGTGAAAACCCATCTCTACTGAAAATACAAAAGTTAGCCAGGCATGATGGTGGGTGTCTGTAAACCCAGCGACTGGGGAGGCTGAGGCAGTAGCATTGCTGAGGTGGAGGTTGCAGTGCGCCAAGTTGGTACCCCTGTACCCCAGCCTGGGCAACAGAGTGAGACTCTGTCTCCACACACAAAAAATGGAAGTCATTCTACTGTGAAGACACATACACACGTATGTTTATTGCAGCACTGTTCACAATAGCAAAGACTTGGAACCAACCCAAATGCCCATCAGTGATAGACTGGATAAAGAAAATGTGGCACATATACACCATAGAATACTATGCAGCCATAGAAAAGGATGAGTTAATGTCCTTTGCAGGGACACGGATGAAGCAGGAAACCATCATTCTCAGCAAACTAACACAAGAACAGAAAACCAAATACTACATGTTCTCACTCATAAGTGGGAGTTGAAGAATGAGAACACATGGACACAGGGAGGGAAACATCACACACAAGGGCCTGTAGGGGAGTGGGGGTCTAGGGGAACGATAGCATTAGGAGAAATACCTAATGTAGATGATGGGCTGATGGGTGCAGCAAACCAACATGGCACATGTATACCTATGTAACAAACCTGCACATTCTGCACATGTATCCCAGAACTTAAAGTATAATAAAAAAAATTAAAGTGTATTGAAAGTGTATGCGGGTGTACTTAGGTGGTATGCAAAAAAGAAATTGGACAATTCGGCTCATTTCCATTTCCTAAAGGCAATAATAGAGCAATTTGGTTTAGCTGTAATACTATGTCAGCAAGTAAATGTTACCAGAATTTAGGAGAAAAAGGGATGCCAAAAAGCTTTTGATTGTGATAAAAGTTCTTTTATTTTGGTAGTAGAATATAGCAGTCTAAGGCTATTTAAATGTCATAGTTCCTTTAGTTCATAAGCATTTCTGGAATCTCTCCTTAAGAAGAATTTTACAGTAAGTAAATTGTAACATCTACAATGTTACTCCTTCTTGGTTTGAGCATGGCAGGCTAGTGTCTTTGCTGTTGCTTAGGGTTTTGTTTGTTTTTAGATGCGTATAGGTAGTTACAAATTAAAATGTAAAAAGATGAGCAATTTGGCCACTTGGTTGTAACTATTACATAAGAGGACTAAATTTTACCCTGTGAGGACAGAATGCAAAACTAGTAGAAGAAATGTAGCTCTTTAAATGTCTTAAAACTTCTCATTCAGAGTTACTTTGGACCAACTGAAAACAGAAGAGATGATACGTCATCATGAGCTCCTGAGGTCCTGGGAGGATTCCAGATTCTCTTCCTCAGTACACACTCAAAACATCCCAAGGTAGGGAAAGAATTCCATTTGGACACACGCTAGCACTAGCAAAATATTGCTTTAACTATATAGACTAACAGAGAAGTTAGTACTAATAATCCTGCAGGATTCTAAAACTGATGTTTCCAAGATGGTGGGAAGTGGATGGAGAGTAGGAAAACTATCATCTCAAGGAAGTGATGGTAATGTACCTGTGTTGAAAGAAACAATATTGTATTCTACAGGAGACTACATCCATCTTACTTACCACTGGAAACCCATGCCTAGCATTGCTAGCACAGAGTAAGTGCTCAAGAAACGTCTGACAACACAAACCTGCCATCATAATAAGGAATCACGACCTTATTGTTATCACTGATTGTCCTCCCTGATATTTTGGTCATGCCCCACATGTGCCTTCTCTCTTCCAGGAGAAGCTTAAAACCATGGCTGGCCTGGTTGGGTGCGGTGGCTCATGCCTGTAATCCCAGCACTTTGGGAGCCCAAGGCGGGTGGATCACGAGGTCAGGAGTTCAAGACCAGCCTGGCCAACATGGTGAAACCCCGTTTCTACTAAAAATACAAAAGTTAGCCAGGCGTGGTGGCAGGCGCCTGTCATCCTAGCTACTCGGGGGGCTGAGGCAGAGAATTTCTTGAACCCAGGAGGTGGAGGTTGCAGTGAGCCAAGATCACGACATTGTATTCCCGCCTGGGCAACAGAGTGAGACTCTGTCTCAAAAAAAAACAAAAAAACAAAAAAAAACACAAAAAAACAGAGAACAATAAAACATGGTTGGACTGGGGTAAAGGGAAGAAGATGAATCTAAAGACCTGAGGAAATCTTAAAGGAGGAAGTAATAGTAAAAGTTCTCCAGTTTTCAGACACAAACCTTTCTCCAGAAGATTGGACCATAGCTGTTTGCTGCAATTGAGAAATGGAGCAGTGAATATGCTTTACTAGCTCATTGACAATTAAAATGACAATAATTACTTAAGTACATAATGAGAATTCCTGATTCCAAACATAGTATCTAGAAGTTTCTAAATATGGTGATATAAAGCACAGACATCTTTTGAGTAATTGCTACTTGGGCTTTCCTTCCAATTCCAACTCCTGAGGAAGAGGACTAAAGAATGCAGAGGGCAAATATGAACAAAATTTCGCAAAAGTTCTGGGGTTGCCGCCCTGCGGGATTCTCAGTTGCTTTTAATTAAATTTTTATTGTTTTAAATATCTTGTTAAATTTAAAACTCAGCATATAACCATTTTCTCCTTTGTGTGATTCAGATGTTTATTTGTAAAAATATTCTACATAATGTGTAATGCTCGATAATTATATTCCTAATGTTTATTTTATATGCTTTTACATAACAAATTTTTTATATAGATATTTATATAGATATTAACTTTTTATACCCCAAATTGAAAATAGAATTAATATAAAATATAATGTGCATGTGTAAGTCACTAAGAATGGGTGTTCCTAGTTGTTGATGGAAAGCAAAACCAAATGGAAAACAATATTTATCAGCTAGAAATATATGATTTATCATTCCTTCAATGGGATGAGTATTTCTCTTCTATGAGTTTCCAGATCATGTTAGCTGTTTGACCTCATTGATTTGCTTGGAGTCTTACTAAATTGAAAATAGCAGGCAGCACAAAATTTGCTTTTCAGTAAGATCTTGGCAATTTTGATGATGGACCCTTTTTCATAGTTTAACAAAATTCATACTCTGGCAAGTGACTTTGCTGTTACGCTGGTGTAGATTTCTCATGGCCATTGAAAAATTCTAGAATATATGCAGCTTTTGAAATATTTTATTATGATCTTTTTGTTGTAAATTTGAATGAATCCAGCCAACAACCTTGAATTAACTTCTAAATTGAGCTCACATTTTTTTCTCCATGTGGCCTTTCCTGAGCCTTCCTCTACAGGCCAATGCCTTACAGCTGTAAGAGTTTCCCAGGGCAGCTGTAACCGATGACCACAAATGGGTGGCTTAAAACAATAGAAATTGGCCGGGCGCGGTGGGTTACGCCTGTAATCCTAGCACATTGGGAGGCTGCGGCGGGCAGATTGCCTGAGGTCGAGAGTTTGAGACCAGCCTGGCCAAAATTAGCTGGGTATCGTGGCAGGCGCCTGTAATCCCAGCCACTTGGGAGACTGAGGCAGGAGAATCGCTTGAATCCGGAAAGCAGAGTCTGCAGTGAGCCCGAGATCGTGCCACTGCACTGCAGCCTGGGCAACAAGAGCAAAACTCGGTCTCAAAAAAAAAAAAAAAAAAAAGGAAAAAAAAAGACAAAAAACAGAAATTAATTCACGAATGCTTTAGGAGGGAAGAAATCAGAAATCCAGATGTTGGCAGGATTAGCTCCTTCTGGAGGCTTTGAGGGAAAGTCTGTTCCATGCCTCTCTCCTGGTTTCTGCTGGGTGCCATAAATCTTGGGCATTGCTTCGCTTGTAGCTGCATGGCTCTGATTCCTGCCACTCTAATGCCTTCTTCTCTGTATGCCCTCTCTTCTTTCTATAGGAACACCAGTCATTAAAAGTAGGGCTCACTCTAGTCCAGCCTGACCTCATTTTAACCAATTATATCAGCAAAGACCTTATTTCCGAATAAGGCCACATTCCACATTCTAAGGTTCCAGGTGAACATGAATTTTGGGATATACTATCTTACTACTACTCTGTTTTCTAGATTCTTCTTCAGAGTTAAACAAACCTCAGACTCTGTCAATTCTCTGGAGCGGATTTCTCATTACCACTGGAGCAGTCTAGAGTCCATAAAATATACTGTGACTCTCTGTTGGGAGAGAGTCCTGTTTCTGTACTTCAATAACATCTGTGTGCAAATTTATCTTATCAGTTACCGTTCCAAAACAAAATCATTTCCATACCTTTTTTTTTTCTCCTTTAGAATGCAAGATTTTTGAGGAACGGTAATGCAGTGGCACTATTGAAATCTCATATTTCAGCACCTGTCCAGAATATACAGGCAAAATATTGACATTCTTTACTGAATTGTTCATTTCTTTATCCTTGCATTTATTTAATACATTTGGATTATTCAAATACTTACTGAATGCCTACTATGTAATGCCATAACCAATATAGCAATGGGAGAAGATAATAATCTATTTTTAATCACACATCTGTTTTGGATCACATGCCTATTTAAATATTTGTTCAACAATTTCCTGGTAAGTATGCGTATGTACACATAGTTTAGCATACAATTCGACAGAGTTCATAGAACCCAGAGATCTGTGAATTCTTGGTTAAAAAATCCTGGCATTTGTCCTATGTAAACTATTTATCTTGCTTTAATTTTCTCATTCTCGGAATATTTGCAAGGCTCCTCATAATGTATTATACTTGTCTTATCAGTTGGAATCCCTTTGGCATAACAGAAATCTCAGCTAGTATCTCATTAGACCAGTATAGTTTAATTTTTCTCACTTAAATATTTTGGAGATCAGAAAATGATACCCTGAAATGAAGGCCTCAGAAGCATCCTCAGAAGCAAAAGTTTTTCTCTGACCTTCACCTGCCCTCCTATATCTGGCCCCTTGTTTCCATTGAGGCTAGCCATAGAAACTATAATCTCTCTTCCCCAAGGTGGGTCATAGAAACCAGAATCCCTTTTCCCCAAAGCCAGCCATAAAACCTGAGAACATTACTCAAATCTTCCCCTCTGCCTCTCTGTGTAAAAACTGGACCTAAAGAAATCATCTGACCTACATTTTTTTGACTGCAGGTTTTAAGACCCCCATTCCAGACAGGGTCCTGCCCCATACCTGAAAGGAAAAATGGCTGCACAGACAAGCCAGCAAGAATCTAAACAGTCAGGTCGTTGGGGGTCTTCCCTGTTCCATCTATTAGCATTAGATCTTACCCTTTTTGCCCAATCATATTTCTATATGGCTGTTTATACTTTGTTGAACCGAAGTATAAAAAGGGAGTTTCCATTGTATCTTTGAGATCTTCATTCTGAAGGTTCCTATGTCACATGAAAGTATGATTAAATACATTTGTATTTGCTTTACCCTGTTAATCTGTCTTTTATTGGTGATTTTCAGTGACTCAGAGGGCAAAAGGGGAACTTTCTTCTTGGCTCTACGAAACTAATTGTAGAGGTTGGCAGTTGCTGAAATTTGTTCAGTTCCTCAATGACTTTATCCAAACCCAACCCCTTTCAAATATCTACTCTCCCTTCCTTAGGCAAGGTATTGACTTTGACAGCATGGTTTCATTCAAATAGAGGAAGCAGTGGTTGGCTAAGAAAGTAATCTTACCTTCTTTTACCTCCTATTAGAGGGCAAAATTATTTCCATTAACACACCAGAAGACTTCCTGTTCTGTGGAATTAGCCAGAAGAGAGTAACATAGAAACCTCTGGGTGCAAGCAATACTGGAAGATTAATATCTATCCATGACCAGATTTGATCTATAGTTAGATCTATAATACAGAAATCTGCATTTCTTTTAAAAATAGAAATCAGAGTTTCTTATTTTCTCATCCTGAGAATGCAGCAAACAAAGTTTTCTATTGTCTCCACTTCTAAAAGCTGATTAGCAATAAAGATAGGAGTAGAAATACAGCTAGCAACTTCTTGTCTAGGGCTGATCTTACCTTATAATATTGAGTTTCCAAAGCAGTTCAGTGATGAGAAGGAACTGGCAAGATTAGCACTTTTATAATGGAATTTGGACAATAATTATAATGTTTCTAAATTTCCTTCAAGAAAAACATGCACATGTATAGTAGCAGGTGTTTTTCTTCTGATCAGCATTCATTACTCTCTCTTCAGGTAACCTCAATTTAATTTTGCATTGTGGAATCACCATTCTCTCATATTCATGATTTCAAGGACTCTGAGCCTACCCTATTATTCCAGGAATTGACAAGTGAGCCACATCTGGCCAATTATCATAATCCACCTCTCACCCATCAGTATTTGCTTTTGATATGCACAATATGAGGAAAATAAGACAGAAATCTGTAACTTTGGCTGAAACTATCTAGAAGTAGACACAATCTGATATGGTTTGGATATTTGTCCCCACCCAAATCTCATGTTGAAATGTAATTCCCAGTGTTGGATGTGATGCCTGGTGGCAGGTATTTTGGTCATAGAAGTAGATCCTTCATAGCTTGGTGCTTTCCTCATGACAGAGAGTTCTGGAGAGCCGGTTGTTTTAAGGTGTGGCACCTCCCCTCCCTCTCTTCCTCCTGCTTCCACCATGTGAAGTGTCTGCTCTTGCTTCACCTTCTGTCTGCCATGAGCAAAAGCTCCCTGATGCCTCCCCAGAAGCCAAGCACCATGCTTCCTGCACAGCCTGCAGAACCATGAGCCAATTAATTCTCCTTTCTTTATAAATGACCCAGTCTCAGATATTTCCTTATAGCAATGCAAGCATGGCCTAATATGCAATCTTTATGCTAATATTGCAAAGTTGGTGGAGTAGATAAGGCTGAATGACAACTTGGCAATAACTCAAGGGAATGAGGAAGAGAAGAAAGAGAGACTCCTTTATTTACTGAACATTTGTTATACTACAGGCAGTATTTGAAGCATTTCACATAAATTATCTTATGCAGTCTTCCTACAATTCAATAAAGTAACACTATTGCTTTGATTTTTAAGATGAGATTTAAGAGATGAAGTGACTCATCCAAGATTACACAGTGCCAAGAAAGAATTTGAACTCATATCTCTGGAATATGGAGACGGTTTTTTTTTGTTTTTTTTTTTTACCATCTCACTCCATTCTGAGTATTGATAACTTAAGAATATATATATTAATTTATGCACATGGTAAAGTTAGCATGATATTTTGAGATGGAATTATGTATAGTGTAGTGTTTCTTTGTTACATTATATAAACTGCATTGATCCTGATGGGGGGTTTCATTTCTGATCAGAGAATGTTTCCAATGACCAAATTGATGACTGTGAAATAACTGTCTTCTGTGGTTTGCTGGACCAAATGGACATTGCCAGTTGTCCTCCATGTAAGAATAATTGGGTAGCATAGCTACTGACGACCACATTTGGGTTAATAAAACCATCATCCACCCACTTGCTCAGGATAAAATCAAGGGTCCTTTAACCTCCTTCTTCCTTTTCTCTTATTGCTTACATCCATTAGCAAGTCAAGTCTATTTTACATCCAACATATATTTTGGATTTATTTACCCCAATCTCCTCTGCTGGCCCTAGTCGTATCGCTATTCTAGTGGAAATACTGCAACAACATGCCTCTCGCAGTTGATGCTCCTGCTGCACTATTGCATTCTTTAGTTCATCCTTCACAAAGTCACTTGACTGATCTACAAATAGAAATCAGATTGTTTCACTTCCCTGGTTAAAATGCTTCAAATGGCTTCAAATTGCAATTAGAATAAAGTCTTAATGTATTACCATGTCTACCAGACTCTAATACCTTCCTTCTACCTGCCCCTAAGGACACCCCTATCATTCTCTTTCTCCTTCCTACACTGTAGCAACCCTACCCTTTCTTTTTTCCTTTCTTTCTTTTTTTTTTAAATTTCTTTGGCACACTGAAGTTGTCTCTGTTTCGGGGATTTTGCATTTGCTGTTCTCTCTTCTCAAAATTCTGTATTTCTTTGTCTTTGTAAAGCTAATGTCTACTCATCATTTAGCTGTCAGCTCAAATGTCACCCTTACGGATGACTTTTCTGAGCACCCTACCCAAAATAACTCAGTGTGTGAGCCACCTCTCTCCCACTAGCCTATTTTATTTTCTTCACAGAATATGTCACTATTTGAAATTGTCTTATTTATGTATGTATTTATGTTTTTCCTTGTCTTCCTTCCCTTCAACTTACTCAAGTCCCAGTAGACTTGAAGTCTCGTGAGGGTAGGGACCTGCTTTACCTTGTGCATAGAAAGTGTCTAGCATTCACTACATGCTAAATAATAATTATTGAATGAATGAATTGGATTTGGAATGAAAATCAGTGAGAATCAACATGAAAAGTTGACCTGAGTCCATTTCTCAGTATTTGTTTACCTCTTTTTATGCATGTATGCATTTATTCTGCTTTGGATACAACTGGGAAAACAGACAACTGTCAAAATATTGAACATCAAAATATATTTTGATATATTTTGAAGTGGCTGTTCAGAGGGACTGCAGACAGTAGTAACCCTACAAAGCTGATTTTTGTGGGAGAGAATTGCATCTGCAGTGAAAATCTGCATGGGTGTTGCCAGTCTTTCTCTGAGGCCCTCCCTTCTCTAACTCTAGAAAAGGTTGAGTAAGAGTCTGACACTTGTAAAGGTCTGAAAGAAATATTTACCATCTAGGTAAATAACAGAAGAAGTTTTGCTGGCCAGGCCTCCTCTTCTCCCTC
This sequence comes from Homo sapiens, assembly GCF_000001405.40. NCBI lineage: Eukaryota > Metazoa > Chordata > Mammalia > Primates > Hominidae > Homo > Homo sapiens. The sequence continues at coordinate 162,680,218 of NC_000005.10, read as the reverse complement.
TCCCATAACCTGTTTTGCCACCACAAACTGTTCTGCCATACTCCCAGCCTCCATTCTTTTTGTAATTTCAAGATGGTATAAAAGCATCAACCATCTGGCCATTTCTTAGAGTTGTCATATTTAGTATAACTCCTGTGCACACATGTGCACATAAAAATGTGAATGCCTTTTCCCTATTAATCTGTGTATTATCAGTTTGTTTTATGGACTCAAATTATTGAAACATTAAAGGAAAAGTGTAAACGTCTTTACACAACTGAGGGAGCCACAGAGCCCTGTGGAAATGAGACTGTATGAGAAAAAGGCTATCTATACTGCATTACTTGTGTAGCCCTATACCTTTGAACCCAAACGTTCAATATGAAAATCAAAGAAGAAAGCTTTTATTTGAAAATGAAATCTCTACAGAGGGGATTAGCATGTTGTCAACATTTGTACACAAAATTTCTTTCCCAGAAATGAATAATCACCAGGGGTGAAGGACAAAGGGCCACACAATTTCCATCAATAGCAGCCACCATACTTATTTTTTTTCTTAGCTCAAATATATTCAATTTTACAATCATCATGAAATCAAAAATATCCCCTGCCTCTAAAAGATTGTGTATACACATGCCCCCCACAGACACACACTAGAAATGAATGTTTTGTAAAGCCTAATAGGCTAGATTGTATCTTGCTATTTTCGTAATGTCACAGCACAGCATTTCTTTAATTTTGGATGGAAAATAAAATGTTTTATTTATCATCAAAATAAGATTATTCATTGCAGATGGTTATGTTCATGGAGACACATGACTCAAAATTAATTATAGGTAGCTTTCAACTTACTAATCTGTTGGTTATCCAAAATTTATTCCAACCACTTGTGGAGTTTTCCATAGAAATAATACCGTGAAACAAATTCATGGGTGTATCAGTGCTATTCAATAGAGCTCTCAATAATAATGGAAATATTCTATATTTGCACTGTCCATATATGACAGCCACTAGGCACATGTGGCTGCTGAGCACTGAAAAGATGGCTAGCATAATTGAGTAACTGATTTTTTTTTTTTTTTTTGAGATGGAGTCTTGCTCTGTCACCCAGGCTAGAGTGCAGTGGCACAATCTCAGCTCACTGCAACCTCCACCTCCCGGATTTAAGTGATTCTCCTGCCTCAGCCTCCTAAGTAGCTGGGATTACAGGCATGAAACACCATGCCCAACTAATTTTTGTATTTTTAGTAGAGACAGGGATTCACCATGCTGGCCAGGCTGGTCTCGAACTCCTGACCTCATTATCCACCTGCTGATTTCTAAATTTTATTTAACTTTAATTAATTTAATTTAAATAGCCATATGTGTGGCTAGTGGCTTCTGTATTAGACAGCACAGATAGATAACAATATCCTTAATGAAACTATACATTCAGAACTGGACACTATGAATTAAACTATCTACAAAAATATTACCTTATCAAAGATCATGCAATTACCTTTTTCATAAATCATTTGCATTTTGACTATGAGAACAAATTTGGACAAATAGGCCACAGTCATTCTGCTGAAATTCATAGACCCCTCTTGCTTATATAAAGAATTCCAGGAACTAGGGGTTAATCACAAACTAGTTTACTGGTAATAACTATTCCAAGAGGTACTGTATGCTTTAGCCAATCATCCTGTCACTAATTTTTGTTAACCCATGGTATTACTATATGAATAGACTGACACTGCCTTGCTATATCTCTTCAGTTTATCCTTAAAAATCTGCTTGTAACTGCCCCAACTTGGAGCACCTCTCAAACTTAGTGTATAAGTGTGTTTTCTGGGTTGCAATCCTCAAATTTGGCTCAAATAGGCTCTCTACTTATGTTAATTTTGCCTCACTTTTTCCTTTAGTTGACAGTGGTTATTGTCAAACCATCATCTACACTGGTAAGTTATGTGTGATAATCAGGTACCCTGAAAGGGCAGTAGGGGAGAGTTTGGAAGCAAGGGGTCCTTCTATGATACAGTGGAATCATATACTAGCAGATTTACATTATGTCTTTACTTTAGAACTTAAATTCTTACAATAGTTAATCTATTAAATATATTAATATATGAAGACAATATTAAAACTGGTCAACCAATGTGCAAGGACAAACACTTTAGAATCCTTCACTCACCCTCCACCCCTTACCTCTAGGAACTTCATAATTGTATTTAAAGCAAAATGATTAGATTTTTATACATCTGCATATAGACTTTCTATTTTTCTTTCCTTTGTCTACTTCAGTGTTTCTCAACTTTTAGTAAGCAAATTATTTTATGGACTAGGTTGAGTACACAGAATTATGTGAACTACATTTTACAGGTAATTTAAGGGCAATTTTTACATAATTGATTCTTGCCTTCCGTGCTGAGTTGACTAACTTCTATGTGACTCTTCTACCCCTTTCAATGCTTAATCCTTGCTCTTTTGTTAAAAATTATTTCCTCCCCAAGGTTATGAAGTAGATCAATTGAGTGTTGCTTTAACCACATTTAAAGCATTTAAAAAAAAATTCAAACCTGCAATTATCTGATTTTTCAAAGGGTTTGTATGCCCAAAGGCCTAATTGCTAAAAGCAGAGTTTCAAATAACCTAATACTCTTCAAGCTTCTGAATGCTGAATGATACTATCTATTTCCATCTCTCTCTTTTTTAATGTGTGTCAGGCCAGCAGAAGCTATACATTTTTTAGAATCTTTACAGGGACAACTTATGAAAAATTTTCTTTGATTTTAATTGCAGAAAAGTTAATATTCCTTTTTCTACTTATTGGACTTTTAAAATAAGTTTCTTAATCTCTGCTTACCTAGAAATCATATTAGATAATTTATGATTGTTCAATAATTCATCTCTTTATATAAATTAGTGAATTCCTCAGCATCATGCTGGTGGCTATTTGGGAAGCAAAACAAAATCTGATAATAGCACCAATATTTAGGTATTTTACAATATGGTTGTCACAAAGGAATCATAGATGAAACAAATGTGAATGATTACCATTTTAGGGCTTGGTTTTAAGTTACCAACTATTTTACAAGTCTACTTGTGTCAAAGTGTTTAAACCAATGATTTTTTACAAGAATATACTTGTTCTGTAAATCCTCTTGCAGGTTAACAAATTCTGATCAACATATAAAATATAATTTGTACTTCCGAACATAAACACACACACACACACACACACACACACACACAGAATTGATATTTCTCTGACAGAAAATTTTGCTGATATTCTTAAAAGATGGATGTTTACCAGGAACCTACATTTAGAAAAAATACTTGGATAATTTATTAAGTGAGAATAGCCCAAGTCTTACCATCTTGAAGAAACTCTAAGAATTACAGTCCTCTGTACTCAAGTGTGTCTGCATCATTCGACACTGTCTTAAATTCTTCTACAGTAGCGTATGCAAATGTGCTCACTTTTTGACAAAAGCAAATACTTCTTTGTATCTTGATTTTAACACCAAACGGTAAGATGGGTGAGAGAAGAGATATAGTGGCTCATGTTCTTGAACAATTCCAAAAAGTGTAGGTTCATGTTACATACTGGGTCACCTATGTTCATTTGCAAGGGCTTCTACTCCGTAATGATATCATGCATATATTTCCTAATACAACTAATACAATTAATTTTGCTGTCTTCATTTCTTGGCTTAGATCTTATTTTCTGATCATGTCACAATTTATCAACTTATTTCTACAAATATTATTAAGTACTTTTGATGTGCCAGCAACTTTACTAGGTATTTTTAAATGGCTGTTGCCTGGAAGGAATTCATAGTGTAGTGACATTATCTTTTCATTTATTATTCCACAGTCTTATTTACCTTCTTTATCACTTTGATTTATAAGACTGTCATAGATATTTACTGAGCACTTACTGGAAGCTCAATATTTACTGAATAAAAGAAAATATAAATGTGCAGGACACTGTGCTAGGACCTGAAGTTTAAAAAATCAGTTATGTTGCCTGTGTGTTGAAGTGGAATTCTGAAACTGCAAACACACTAAGAAGCTGGGAATTATTTTTATTTTTTCTGTAATATGAGAAAACATATTATTCCTCCTTTTCCCCCAGACAAAGACACAAACGACAAATCTAATGAATGAAACTTAAATATGGCTTCAAAACTCATTACATTTACTCAGAAGAGAGGCTGTGTTCTTTAGGTTTTCAGTCTTAGGACTCAGAAATCAGATTGAAAAAAAAATAATCCCATTACCACCACCCATGTTCTTCTGACCCAAATAGCTGTTACACAGCATGACATCCCTCCATGTGGCCCTACCTATGCAGAATTGCTGCTCCTTGAGATAGATTTAACCTTTATTACTGGGATAAGTGCACTTTTCAAGCTGTAGCACAGAAATGCTCTTCCAAGGGGAGTCAAGAGCAATAAGGACTCTATGTTGAGTGAGGAATTAGGGGATAAGGATGGCTTTATGAATTTTTAAAATATCTTTGGCCTTTTTTTAAGCTAAGAGAAAAATCTGGTTCTCAATTTAAAAAGAATTCTATAACATAAAGAAGAGTCTGTATTAGATATTCCTAACCTTTTTCTACCTTTTAGTAATCCTACAACATTTTATTTGTATAATTGTCCAATAACCTTTATTGAACTGTAGTAAGGAGCCAAGCATTGAAGACCTAATCGTTGGTCTTAAAGAGCTCCCATCATGCATGAGAGAATATCACATGTGGCAGGGTTTCTGGCACCAGAAATCAGACTCACATAACTAAAATTTAGAGCTAAGTAACCCGTAACAACTCTGTCATAATGATTTGCATCTAATGCCGTACATGAGGAAAACTGCTTAAACTGTGTTAGTGACAAGTTTAAACAGAAATGGGTTTGACTATTGTACTGTGGGCTGGGGAGAGGGGAGATAAAGGTATTCCTATTGCAACGAGGGTATAAAGGAATATGTGGGCTGACTCAATAAACTAGATTTCACAATGGATCATGAGCTTCAGACAAGTGGATTCTTGAACACTGCATGGTGACTGGTCCTGATGTGATCAAGAAAAATGGTTAATTTTTTTTATTTTGGGAAAATAAGGTTTGTTAGTTAAAAGTTTTAATCACTTAGAAGGACTTGTTGAGCTGCACAGTACTTCACTGTGTGGGTAAACCAGTGTTAAAGGGCATCTCAGTTAGCGATTGTTGAAATGTTGTGGATTATGAGAATTGAAGCGTAAGTGAGGGGGCATCAGCAGCATCAAAATCAGAATATTATTTGTAAGTCAATATAAGTTCAGGGAAGTTCCAAAAATATAACCTGGGAGAGATTTTAAGGAATTTTATTTCCCATGTGTACAGAAGAGGATGAGGAGTCAGTACAAGTTGGGTAGTGCATTCAAGAGTTAGTGGGATGTGGAGACATTAGGATAATATGTGAAAAATTATGTATAACTATTCACTGGTAGTTTTCTAATCTGCATATTCCTACCCGTGAGTTGTTTTACTGTGAATTGGGCTAATATGGGCCACCTAGGTCCCATTATCTTTACTGGCATTCCTGCTCACATTCTTAAAAGATTCACCACACATAATTGAAATCACTTTCACTTTCTTGACCCACACTAACAAGCCTGAAAGATCCAATACAAAGACCAATATGATAGAACTTCAGATCCAAGAAGAGAATTTAGGCAGTGATGAACAGGAAGACACAAATACCAGTGTTACACAGTGGAAAATAATTAGAGAGAGAGAGAGAGAGAGAGAGAGTGATTATGCACATGCTAAAAAATGGGCTTCTAAACTGATGAAGAATCAACTGAGGTAATAAATAATATTACATCCAGAAAATTCCTAAGTTTGATAACAAATTCATGATGGAGAAAAAACGACCCACAAGAATAACAAGCAAAAAATCATGTTGTATTTCTTTCAATGACAGAAAAAATTAATATTTAACATAGATGACCTCCAAGAGAATAATGATTTGTTTTTAAGTAGCATTTTGTAAGAATTATTTGGAAAATATCTGAAAGAATTGTCAAAATAAAAAAAAAAACAATAAATTTAGTTTAAAGATCTTAACTGGCTTTTATTTATAATTCTACAATCAGGCAACATCTTATTTTGTAAAATAGAGTAAGTGTTCTGATGAGCTAAGCAGAAGGGTTTGGCTTTATAGGCAGAAAAGAACTGAAGAAAGCAGAAGCAGAAAACAAAAGGTGGGTTGCTCATTTCCAAGTTACTTTCCTTACGGGGTTAAAACACATGTGGACTTCCTTGTTACAATGACTCATGTTTCCTGGAATCTGTGGATTTGGGGAAAACTAGCCCCTTTCATAGTTCTGGTTCATTACGTGGCACTTTATACAAGTGATTCCATTCAGGTGTAATCTGGTCTGATGAGGCCTAGTGTAGGAGCCTAAAACAATGGCCTCCCATAAATTTGTTTAGCAGTTCTAAGAAAAACATAAAAGCAACCATAGTATTAAAGAATTTATTTCTGATAAACACAGTTCTTGGTTCTTGAAGTCTTATGAATTTCCCCCAATAGTTCTGAACTGAGGAATGCTGTGCTCAACTCTATCCTCTTTGAAGTCTTTTTCAATCTTTATCAGCCAACTAATGTATTTTGGAAAACGTGTGCATTTCTTATTCAGCAAAATATCCATGAGAAATTTTGCCACTATGGTTTAGGGAACATCTCTATCTATGAATCTTAGAAACTCAGGGAATAAATTTTAATCCAATTCACTGGAATCTTGAAATGACTACTTTGGGAGTTTTGTGGTGTGTGTGTGTGTGTGTGTGTGTGTGTGTATGTGTGTACATTGTCCTTTCTAGTCAACCCTAGCTACTCATTGGCGGCACCTGGGGAGCTCTGAAATAATACCAATGTGTGGGTCTCATCACCAGAAAATCTTGACTTTTGTTTGTTCGGTTCGTTCATTGAGATCTGGACGTGAGTACTTTGTTAAAAGCTCCTCATGGGTTTTTTGTATTCTGTTATGGTTGAGAAACCCTGTTTTAGAGGAAAACAATTTTCATTTGATCTTATAATCCTGAACAGTTTCCCAATGCTGATTAATTGTATTTCTGTGTGGTTTAAATTGTCAGGGTCATGGTAGAAATGAGTTCTTGTAGGAGCCACGTCTGTTTTAATCCCATTCCTAGGTTATATTTTTATAGAAGATTCTTTAAAACCAGTAAGCATGATCCAAAGTTAGTTCCCAAAGGTCAATGTGAGAATGGTCTTTTAGTCTATTTGTCTCAATAATTATTATCATGCATTACTACAGAAAGTTATTGGAACAGAAGTTTCACCTGCAACATCCCTTGATTTGACCACATTAAACAGTTGTGAATAAAACAATGATGTTTCTATTTTAAAAATTGAGGAACTGAACAAAAACATTGACTTACGTCTAAACAAGCCATCTCTTTAGAGTTCACTATGGTTGGTTAGAACTGCTTCAAGACCTACTTTGCTGAAAGGAATTAGCTTCATATTGACATAAACCAATAGAAGAGGTTGATATTGGCAGTTAATGCAAAATGTTAATTAGAAAGGCAGATGAGTAATATAGATGAGAACAGAAATTAAATGTCACGAAGAAAAATCTTCTAAGTTTAGAGACAGAAGCATTTACACCTAATATGACTTCTGCTTCTGATTCTTAAATACCTTTTTCCCTCATAGCTTCTTTCTTAATACGTGATTGCACTTGACTTTTTGGTGCACCTTGGCTGATTAGCAAACTGGCTTCATCAGGATGAGAATGTGTGTGTTTTTCAGAAGGAGAGGTGTTGCAAGAGGCTTCAAGAAAAATAAAATATTTCTACAGTGTTAATGTTTATGATAGAGTGAATAAAAAAGTGTGGACACAAAGTAGCCAAATTTACAAGTCAATTGCTTCACTCCTACCATATTCTTGTGCAATCCCAAAGACATCTCAATGACCTTTTCAATGTATTATCTTGGGACACTGGCTGTTCATGACAACACACTTAGAATGTAGCTCCACTGCAGCAGAAAGAATTCTAATCCCAGTCAGGGGATATAAAGTTCATGAGACTCTGCAGAGAAGGAGGGCACTATTTTAGGCAAAAGAAAATCTCTCTGAAGAATCCGCAAGCAATTTACCAAAGTTTAATAAGCCTATTATTGTGTTTTAAATAAGCTGTGCTACTTTATTACCCTTAATAATAAATATACATTAAAATTTATTTAAAAAGTCACAGGGGATGCTCTAGATTAGAAGCAATTTTTGAAGTTTAGTAGACTGTGAGTTCCTTTATTGCACTAAAATATTAAATTATTACTTTTAAAGAATCAAAATATTTGTGCATAGCATGTTGTCCAGAAATACACTTTCAAATAGCTTATGTGTTCATAACTATTTTGTTTTGCAAACATTTTTGAAACATTGTGTAGACAGATTATCTAGAGAATTATCAGCGGGTATATCACATGGGAAAATTTCCCCTCCAACACAAACATACAACCACACTAGGATGCTATGAGGAGTTTTTAATGTCCTCTAAATTCAAGAGAGGTTTTCTTTTCTCCCTCATGTCTTAGCAATAAAGTAATCCTCTCCTCTGCAGTGGATAAGGGAATAATCAGACAAATAGAAGCAAGTGTGCCAGGGATATTATGATGAAAGAAGGCAGCCAAACTTAAATTTCATTTTATGGTCAACTTACAAACAGTTGTCGTTGTTTTCCAACGGTGAACAGTAGGGCTGACATGGATGGGTGGTAAGCTCCGGGATATTTTTCTACCTAAAGATCTATCTTTCCTTTCCTGTGGAATATCACAAATTGCTTCATGAAAAAATGTTGTTAGCCACATGCATCTAGCATAGCTCTTCTTGGACTGCAAATTCAGTTGTCAATCCTATTTATGTTAGTATGGGTTGAGTTCAAAAACTTAAGGTTATTTAATTATCAATTTTCAGTTTATACTATGTGGTACCTGATACATTGTAGGCAGGTACCGCATAGGCTTAATGGTGTAAGAGCAGATTAGTCTGCCTTTGAAATAGCAAGGAAAATAAACTATTGATAATTTTAGCAGAAAATAAATGTACCTAAGGGTATTGGTAAGGTACAGGCCAGATATCCAATTATAACTTCTCTCCCTTACCTTTTGTATACTTTTGAATAAAGTATACAAAAGTATACAAAAGGTATACTTTTGGCTGCTTGACCATCCAACAGATGGATGTGAAACTCCACCCCAGGTTTTTCTGCTGGGAAATTGAGTCTTGCCCGATTCATGGCCGAAAGTGATTTTCCAATTGTTTCTACTTCTTAAATTACCCAGGTTTCTCTTGTGCTTGACCTAAAAAGTTTGGTGCTTCATATATATTTCTTTTACATTTTTATAATCCTGTACATAGGAGTTTCTTTCTACTGAAAATTTAATTTCTCTCCAAATGTAAATACAGTATGTAAATATAAACTATGCTGAAGAAAAATATCACTGATTTCTTAGTCCCTTTGCCTCAAAACAAACAAGAAAATCAACAAACAAATGAACACATAGCCTACTTCTTCTGCAAGATCACATGGCATTTTGGTTCCGGAGGGTTACATATTTTTTTGAAAAAATCTTTTTCTTTTGCTAACTTGTGCATCTGGCTGACCTGATGTTTGTGATTTGTCACTTTAGTTGACATTAAGCTTTTACCTCCAGGACAATTACTACATGTGCTATTGAATTGTACCCTTGCTAATTAAGGCCAAGACCTTTAAACAAGTGTATGATATATGATAAGCTTGGTGAGTCATTTAAAAAGAGGCAGGCAGCTGCTGAGAGGGAAATCAACCTAAAATTTGCTGTGCTAAGGTCAAGTCTCCACATTCGAAGTTAAGTGGAAGATGATTATAAGAATTTGTATGATTTGCATAGAACTTAATTTCTTAATTATGGGGAGATTTGTGGTTTGCTTTCTCTGCCTTAATGTGCCATGAAGGATGAAATAAGGCTCAAGTCACTACCTACCTCTGTTGTAAACGTAAAGGGTTAAATTAACTCATAATCAAGAAACATTGATTTTCAAAATAGCAGAGTCAGCTACTATGGTATGATGTAGTTTTCTTGCTAGGAACACATTTCATGCAATATTGGGGTCATTTCTTCATTTCTGTGGGTAGGGTCTGGAGAGTTTCATGTACGTAGCAGCTCCTAGAATTCAGTGTCGTGAATTTTCCTGTAGGGAGGGGTGGCTGGCTTTGCAATGCCTTTTACTCTTACCTGTGGAGCCAGTGAAGTTTAATTTGCACACCTCTCACAGCAGGAGGAATTGTAGGCGTTATTCCACCTGTCCTAAGCTCTTGTGACTTTCTCTATGGCCTCCCTGATGGAAGATGCTAGAATATGCCAGATTCTTTTTTTTTTCCTCAGAAGTTTCAGCAGTCTTCTCAGTCCCTTTCTCTCTCACTCTTCTTGGAAGCTCTTGTTTCTAGAGTAGTTGGTATGTTTATTTTCTTTGCCCTAAAGCCAAAACGTGATACATTGCATTACCTAACAAACCAAATATACAGTGTTTAACACCTTTGAAATAAATGTCTTTAAAATATAGATGAAGACTGTAAATAGACTACTTAAAAATCAATTTTTCTAAATGTGAGCCATTATTTAGTCAATTTGTTAAAGCACGAATTCCATTATGTTGTTGATACATTGTTAGTTATTGTTTGGCTTTTTTCCATCTGTCCAAGGAAAGATACATGAAGAAATTAAAAATGAGTATGTTGCTTTCTAAAAATTCTTCATTTTAAGTGAAAATGTTGTATAAATTTAGCAAACTATAAAGTCATTTTCAGATTGCTATGAGTCCATGTCATTTTTATTCCCATCTGTTATAAAATGCATTTGGGATTGAATGTGGATATGTACGGCCTTAAGCCACATAGCAGCAATATCTTCAAAATCCTCTTTGAACATTGATTAAAACAACAATGAAATTAATGAGCTCTTTATAAATTAAATGGTCATTGTGCACTGTATAATTTTTTGGTGAATTGGATTACGAGATAGTTGTATAAAAAGCTAATCAATTTTCTTCTATATTTAATCCTTCTATACTTGAGAGCTTTAATTCAGAATCCAGATGATGTTTTTGCCTCGAGGGGAAACTATATTTCTAAAAGCAACTAAATAATTGGACATCTGCCTATTTATATTTTTTAACAGAGTAACTTCCTCAAGTATATTTTTAAGGTTCTGGTGAAGGTTTCATTCCTATAGTCTTTATTTAACTAAATATATATTTCCACGTAATTTGAAAAAATATACAGAATACAGATTTACTAAATAAACACAAGTACGCTTATAAAATACACAGAAATTACAGAATTAAACCTTTCATCTGAAACACAAAAAAATACATGGGAATAGATAGATAGATAGATAGATAGATAGATAGATAGATAGATAGATAGATAGAAAAATGGAAAGAGATAAGGTTTTGTATGGTATTTCCATAGAAACTTATAAGAATGTTAAAGTTATACAATTTGGGACTATTGCTTCACTTATTTTCCTGTACAAACCATACGTAACTGTGCACAAGTTGTAAAGGTGAAACAGAACAGGGACACCCTCTAAGGGGGCTGCTGGGCACCCTGCAACACTCCGCAACCAGCATGGAAATAAAGGAAAATCTTGAGTTCCTTCAAGGGAACCTAACTAAGCAACTAACTAACTAGCACTAAGAAGTAAAAGAGTAACTTTAGAAGCAAGAAGGTAACAGTAGCTTAAAACAATAGCCATGGAGGTTAGAATTATGGGATGTTCCCTACAGAAACTAAAGATAACTTACGTTTCTGAGTTGTTTTTCAGAAACCTGGATCCCCCACCATAGAGATTCACTGGCAGGTAGACCTCAGACATAGGAGAACTGAGGACTGACCTCTGACAGCTGTTCTTTATTCTGAAATTCTTCCTGAGGGGTTTGGAGGAAGTCACACCTACAGTCAGAGCTAACATTCTTTTCTGCTGACCCCAAAGTTCAGACAAAGCTTCACCTTCTTAACCAATTGAAAATCAGAAAAATCTTTGAATCTACCTATGACCTGTAAGCCCCTGCTTTGAGATGTCTTGTCTTTTTAGGTCAAAACAATGTATGGCCTCTACGTATTGATTTGTGAGGTTGCTTTAACTGCCTCCCTGCTATTAAAAATCCTTACCTGTGAGCCATTGGGAAAATTGGGTCTTACCTTTGAGCTACCCAATTTACCTTGCCTGGTGCCCTGCAAGCACACTTCTTTCTCTCACTGCAAACCTCTGTGTGGATATATGGCCTTGCTGTACATAAGAGTGGATTCCCCTTCAGTTTGATAACAGAAGTATGGTAAAGGAGTGGCATATCTACTTACTTAGCTTCTTTATATTTTTAATTCTTTCAAAAAGCCAGGTAAAATCATTCAATGCATGACTGTCCTAACATCTGATTCCAGAATCTTTGAGAAAGTTTGAAGACAAAGAATCAAGGATGGGATGATCATCTAAGCTGAGTTAAAACATTTAGATATATGAATACTCAGTATTGCTTTTTGTAATACCATGGTTTGTATTTTTCAATGCAAAGAAAAAGATAAACTAGTTTCTATATATCTGCATCTGGTACCTTCTGTGCCCAATTATCTGTTAACAATTCCTTTTTCCCTTTTTTATCTTGTATATCTTCTTCTACTGACTTCTTTCTGAAAGAATTTAAATATCATCAAATACCTATATTATATATATAATTTATATGTATATGAGATATTTTTGATATGATACATATAATACATATATACATATAATACACACATATATACATATACATACACATATGTATACATACACACATACAGATACATACACATATATACGTATACATACACACATATACATACATATACATGCATACGTATGTATATTTGTGTGTGAAAATATATATATATATATATATATGTATACACATGTGGTTGGTGCAAAACTAGTTGCAGTCTTGGCATTGAAAGTAATGGGAAAACCCGCAATTATTTTGCACCAATCCATAAGGTATATATTCATATATGTACCATATTTTAACATTTTAATAAGTGTTAAAAATATTATTTCTAAATGCATCAGGCTTTAATTTTGTTATACACTGATAGCACACTGTAAGGGACGTGAGCAAAAATAATGGGGGCTTTTCATTTTTTGCAATAGATTATTTTCTGCTATTCATTTGGCAGAGGCCTGTAATAAACTTGTTTGTTTCTGTTGGCTTCATTTCAGTTCAAAACTGGAAATAGTGGATGCTTCAGAGTCACTTAATGCTATTTTACTTAGAACCATTATGCTCCTGTCATTTTGCAAAATTATGGGTGAGTTTATATATATATATACATATACATATACATATACATATATATATATGTATATATATATCATATATTCTAATCTAATATCCCTATCAAACTAGCAGCATCTCTTGTTCTTTTCTTCTAGGGTCAACTTGCTTGAGAGAATGTCTCTACTCATTTATCTCTTGTACATCAAACATTAAACACATGATCATTTGTCTTCTTCCCTTACCATTCTATTGAATCTGATCTCAACAAAGATAGGAAAAAGTCTCTAGATGTTAAATACAATGGCCATTTTTCAGGCATTATCGGACTTGATCTCTCTAAATTGTTTGTCACTATTTATAACAACTACTTCTCCCCTAAAATATATTATTCTCTTGGGTCCTGTGACATTAAACTCTCTCTTCTTCCATTTCTTACTGTGGATAATTCTTTCTGGGTTTTTTGGGGGTTTTTTTTTGTTTTGTTTGTTTGTTTTCGGGGCCCTCTGACCATGTAAGTTCTAGTGTGTCTCTGAGGTTTGCACTAAGCCTGCTTTTCTCTAGTCTCTACACTCTCTAAGATACCTCACTTGATCTCACAGGCTTTAAGAGGTGAATAGGTCATGAGGACTCTTCCCTTGTGAATGGTTAAATGCATTATCCAGGGAGTGGGTTAGTTATTGTGGGAGTAAGATGCTGATTAAAAAAATGAAAATTTCCTAATTTTCTCCCTCTGTCTCTTGTGCTCACTTGTTCCCTCACCTTTCTGCTCTTTAGCCCTTGTACCCTTTTGCCACATGATAAGGCCTTTGCCAGAGAGGCCTGTGCCATGCTCTTGGACTTCTGAACCTCCAGAACCATAAGCCAAATACATTTCTATTGTTTATAAACTTTTGGCATTCTGTTATAGCAGCAGAAAATGTACTAAGACAACCAGCATGCTCATCATTTTAATGAGGACTTGGCATCTATAATTTTTACCTAGATGTTTTAAGAAACCAATTATTATTAATTAAACACTAAAACAATAACTAGATTAACATTTTAGCTTGCAATGGCCATTAAACTTGACTTCTCCTCCCTTTTGCCATTATTTTTCAATTGAGCTGTCACACATCTATAATAATATCACAGCTGCAAATCCATGTGCTGTACCGTACCCAAGGCCCAGTGGGACCTGCAGGTCCACTAGGCAATCATTTATGAAAATTACAAAGCACATTAAAATGAATTTTCCTCCTGGATGTGGATGTCTACATATGTAGCTTAGGAAATGCAAAGCCAGCTACAAGATATTATTTTCTCGTCATGGCAAAAGCAATTAGTATGCTAAAAAGCACGTGTCCTTCTAGGTCATTTTAGTTGCAAAATTTTTGCATGCAAAGTTGTCTTATTAAGGATAAACAGGGCTTTCTTGTGAAAAAAGACAGCAGCAATCTGAGTTTCTGATAACACACACACACACACACACACACACACACACATACACACACACAGCACATAAACTTAAAAATTAGAAAAGCAACATAATTCATAACAATTTGGAATCTGCTGATTGTAATTTTTGCAGATAACTACAAATAGATACCCATTTTAGAAAATGTAATTGTGGAACACCTTGTTAAAAGTATAGCATACTTAGGTTACAATTTTGTAGGACACTTAGGGTAATACACATGCCAGTATCATTCCAGCCTTTGAAAACATGCTTTTAAAAAAAGAAATAAATATCTTTATTAAGTTCTTTGTGATTTCCAAGAAAAGACAAGGTCAGATTATCTTCGTTGCTGTGGATTT
Organism: Homo sapiens; assembly: GCF_000001405.40. Taxonomy (NCBI): domain Eukaryota; kingdom Metazoa; phylum Chordata; class Mammalia; order Primates; family Hominidae; genus Homo; species Homo sapiens. The sequence goes on along the minus strand of NC_000005.10, from coordinate 162,665,103 downwards.
ATTGTAAGGACACATAGAAAGGAAAATAGCTGGGGAAACATCCTTGGCAGCTTGACATTTATTTTGGATCTCAGACTTCCAAGCTCATATAAATGATCTCATGGAGAATTGGAGCCTGAGCTCAGTATAATTTAAAAAATTGGGGCTAAACTCCAGTACCTCGCTTCTTCCTGTGTACCTAGAATTTGTATTTCCCAGAGAGAGGATTTGATTAGGATAAAGTACCACCTCAGGAAGCAATTGCTTCTCTCATCTCCGATCTCCACAGAATGAACTTTCTTAGATACCATTCACTAGTCCCAACAAAGAAAGCCAGTGATGTTTTGTTGATGCTACACGTATGACGTAGGCAATTATATTCCAGAGAAACCACTTGGACTTGCTTTTCTATAAGAAACATACTGTGAAAGACTGTAAGTGCTGGCATAAAATAAACTTCTTTTAACGTTACTAAACTTCTTTTCAAAATCGAAAATAAAATTTGAAGCCCTAGAACACTTGCTAGAGTAGGTTATGTCATACTGTGGTAACAACGTAGGTCCCAAATGCCAGTGGCTTAACACAGCAAAGATATATTTCTTGCTCATTCAATCTGCAGATCAGAGACCATGCCACATTTGAAATCTGAACACATTTGACTACCAAGCAGGCCAGAATGCTTTAATTTTTTTTATTTATTTTTATTTTTTTGAGACGGAGTCTCGCTCTGTCGCCCAGGCTAAAGTGTAGTGGTGCCATCTCGGCTCACTGCAAGCTTCGCCTCCTGCCTCAGCCTCCTGGGTAGCTAGGACTACAGGTGCCCACCACCACGCCCGGCTAATTTTTTGTATTTTTAGTAGAGACAGGGTTTCACTGTGTTAGCCAGGATGGTCCTGATCGCCTGATCTCGTGATCCGCCCGCCTTGGCCTCCCAAAGTGCTGGGATTACAGGCATGAGCCACCGCGCCAGGCCTACTTAAATATTTTGACATCATCATCATCATCTCAAAGTCTCATTCCCGGGGAATAAAGAATTTAGCAACCTCAAACTCATGCTATATACTGTACATCGAGTAATACCTATTAATTCCACACATAGTCAATTGTCCAGGGCTAGTCACATAACCTCAGCTTCAGTCAGGTGCAATGGGAAGTGTGGAGAGGCATATACAGTGAGTACACAATTATGTTGTCACACTCAGTTTCCTCATCTTTAAAATGGTCATGCTCACAATAAGCTACAGGATTATTATGAATCAGTGATACATAGTAATTTGGGACCACTGTATAACAAATGAAATAATAAATCTAATGTGCTTAGCACATATTTGTCAGATAGCAAATACCAAAGAAATATTAACCACCATCAGTATTGTGCCAGAAAAGGAACTATTTGTATGATAGTTGCCTAGTGTTTCATAGATTATTTTTATAGTACATTATAATTTTAAAGATCACTTCAAAACAATTTCATAAACTTTAGATATATTTTATTTCCTCCATCTATTTTTTCCTTGTTGATTCTACTTTCATCTGATTGAATGACATTTTGACAATGGCTTGAAACACTCCAACATTTGATTTTATCATAATAACTGAAAACATTGTTTTCAAGAGGGAGCTTGGTTTATGACTGCAGGTACCCATGTATTTGGATTAGACCTAGATGTTGGACATCAGGAGCTTTTTAACCAAAAGTTGATGCTCTTTCCATAGATTTAATGGGCCATAATTATTCAAATCCATTCAAGTCAGCATGTTAATTTTGTGCATATAACCGTGTTCTAGAAGCTACAAAGATGAATCAGATATATCTGTGGCCTCAAAAAGTTACAATATTGATGACTAGGTAGAACAAAAATATACATAGTGGTAATACATGCAGATTAAGTTCTAAGGGTCAGTAACATGTATAATATTCAGACAGGTAGCCGTGGAAGGTAACTGAAAAGAGAAGGGTTTTAGACATAATGTCAATAGATGTCCAGGATTTTGGAAGGTGGAGAGAGCAGTCCCTGGTCTAGAAACAAAAAATGTTATGGAGGACACTTAGAAAAAATAGACCAAGCTCACGTAAAGGGCTTTTGAAGGCTATAGTGACAAATGCTTCTTAACCTGCTAAGTAAAGTGGATCTGAAGAAAGTTTTTTTTTTTTATTTTCTTCACGTATCATAGCCAGGTTTTACATAGACAAATCTTTCCCTACTGTTTTTTAAAAACTAGAAAATTTTTCTTCAATTGAGCATTTTTTCCAATAAAAAGTATGAAACATTATGTCTCCAAAAACTGTTTGACCTTGTACTGCCACTTTTTGTTCTGAAATACTTTTCCAATTAACTTTCAGTCCATTCTACACCTGCTAAAACAGATGAAACAATGCCCCTAATATAGATGGTAAGAGCTAATGTGTATATAAGTTAATGTTGTAGCTTTTCATTTTTCATTCTGAGACTTTTGGGAGCCTTGAAGGAGTGGGGGGGAAATCAAATAAGGTAGAATTTGAAAAGTGTTTAAAATAAATTAATGGAAGGCCTGATACTTTTGCATGTATAAGAAAGTTTCCAGTAAGATTTCTTTACTTGTTGGATCTATCACATAGGATGATGTGATTAGTATATTCAACCTTAATATTTGGAAAACTGATTAGATTAAATAGAACATGACAATAGATTGAAATTATATTTGAATGATGTGTTCGATGTTGATTTGTGAAGAAAAATTTCACCAGAAAAAGTTTATTAAATCTGGAGAAATTAGACCTTAGAAAGGATAGTTTTCAAAATAATGCATTGTCAAATTGTAAATACGTTCTGTTTTGTTACAAGCCACTGAAAAAAAATAGTTGTATTGTCATTTAGTAATAACCTTTTTAAAAAAAGTTCTGGTTGAATATTTTTAAAATAAGTGCTAATTATGTACAGCAGTGTCCTGCAACAAACCACAGAGCATGCATTTTAAATATCAAGTAATAATATGAATTATATAAAAAGCCTTGTTATAATTACATGTGCCAAAAAATAGCAAATTATGATAAATATTAACTTTTAGTCTGTTTACATATGTAAAAAGATGTGTATAGGTGCCTGGGTAAGTGTTAAAATAAAAATATTATTTCTAAATGCATCAGGCTTTAGTTTTGTTATACATTGATGGCACACTGTAAGGGACATGAGCAAAAATAATGGGGGCTTTTCGTTTTTTGCAATGGATTATTTTTTGCTATTCATTTGGCAGAAGCCTGTAATAAACTTGTTTGTTTCTGTTGGCTTCGTTTCAGTTCAAAACTGGAAACAGTGGATGCTTCAGAGTCATTTAATGCTATTTTACTTAGAATCATTATAGTCTTGTCATTTTGCAAAATTATCTGTGAGAACTGATTCTCAGCAAGCATTCTTGGATATGAGAAATAATTTCTACTATTTAGCCAAACAACATCAATTTCAGTTTGTACTCAGTGTAAATACAAATACCTAAAGACAGTGTTGTTAAAGAATAAGTGACAACCTACAGAATGAGAGAAAATATTTGTAAACTATACATTTGATAAGCGGTTAATATCCAAAATAGATAAGGAACTCAAACAACTCAACAGCAAAAAATAAAATAACATAATTTAAAAATAAGCAAAAGATCTAAGTAGAAATTTATCAAAAAAAGACATAGAAATTGTCAACAAGTATATAAAAAATTACTCAACATCACTAAACATCAAGGAAATGTAAATCAAAACCACAATGAGATATCATCTCTCCCTAGTTAGAAAGTCTATTATCAAATACAAAGATAACAGATATTGGCATGGATGTGGAGAAAGGGGAACCCTTACACACTATCAGAGAAAACATAAATTAGTACAACTACTATGAAAAATAGTATGGAATTTTTCAAAAGTTAAAAATAGAACTAACATATTATTCAGCAATTTCTCTACTGAGTATATATTTAAAAAAGGAATTCAGCATTTTCAAGACATACCTGTACTATCATGTTTATTAAAGCACTATTCACAATAGCCAAGACATAGAATCAACCTAATTTCCATTGATAGGTGAATGAATAAGGAAACTGTGTTGTGTATATACAGAATGAAATACTATTGAGTCATAAAAGGAAAAGAATCCTGTAATTTGCAACCACATGAATGAACCTGGAAGACATTATGTCAAATAAAATAAGCCAGGCACAGAAAGACAAGTACCTCATGATCTCACTCGTAACTGGAATCTTAAAAATTTTATATTATAGAAGGTAGAGAGTATAATGGTAGTTACCAGTGGCAGAGGTGGTTGGCAGAGATAGAGAGATGGGAAGATGTTGTTGGTCAAAGGATACCTAATAAGATAGAGGAAAATTTCAAGAGATCTATTGTGCAGCAAGTTGACTATAGTTAAGGGTGATATATTCTATTCATAAAAAAGAAAGTGGATATTTGTTATGTGTTCTTACCACAGAAATAATAACTATTTTTTATAAAAGGATAACTAGAGGTAATGCATTTCTTAATTAGCTAGATTTAACCATTTCACAATTTGTGTATACGTGTTTGTGTGTGTGTGTGTGTATATATATATAAAATGCTGTGTATATAATGAATGTATATATTGTATATTTTAAATCATGTGCATGACAAAAACATACAATGACATCTGTCATCTTAGCAAAGTAAAAACAAAGATGGTATTGTTGATGAGACTATACTGACATGCTATATTTTTAGGTAATGTCTATGGAATGTTTTTTTCATAATTAATGGCATTAAATTAAAAACTCTCTCTTTACCAACATTATGATGTATTTATAATCTGAGATGTATTATATTAATAACTATCAACCTGAGATAAATGCGGACACTTTCCTTCTAAAAACGACTGTGTTATTTTATCTTTTTCTCTTCTTTAGTTCTGTATCAAGGAAACTCACAAGCTTCTGAGAATAGAGACTTGACTTTCCAGAGTGGAACTTTGTAGAAAGAAGCTTGATATGGTAATTGAAGGGCAATGCTCCTAAAGATATGAACTATTTGGTGAGTTCAGGATATGCCATCTCAAAGCCGAGATGACAGAATGGGATAAGGACATACAGCTTCCAAGTTGTTCTTTAAGCTCAACTCCAAAAGGCTAAAATCTCATTTTATTATATTTGATAATATATTTAAAAATAGCAACAGCTTATTGATTATTACTGTTTTCATTACTTGATTTATGATTATTCCACCAATCTATATTGTTTAATTTAAATGCTTTTTAAATTTGCATATATAATCAGTTCTTTTTCTAGAAATTATATTTTCTTCTGTTGAGCTGTAGGTCAATTCTCTTACTCAGTGCAAGATAGTTTAAATTACAGTAGATTTGTAAGGTATTTACTTTTCAGTAATCATAGGCCATACAATAATTTATCTATTTCTTCCCTTCTCTTTCACCAAATATTTTCCACACACTTGCCCTCTTTTGAGACTGATTTCTGAGGTGTTTCAAAGCTCTTGTGTTGTTCATAATATGCCATTATGATATGCATTCCCACCTAGACATCATTGCTCCACATTGAGGTGCTCTGAGGAAACCATGCCTTCCTGCCCATCTGCACATTTTCCCTTTATTTTTTTTACTTGAACCAACAGCCGTACATCCCATTCCAACCACTTCCTCTCCCATAGTTTTCAGCTCAAGATGAGAAATTTTTGTTTCAACTAGTGTAAGTCATTCGTTGAGAGGGATAATAACTCGGTAGGGATCAAGGGATGACTAGAAAAGGGTTAAGACAGAGTTATATTCTCCAAGTAAAAGGAAAACAAACATGAGGAAATAAAGCACACTAAGTTTCATGTCTGGATAAACGTCGACTTCATCATTATGGTCTTCATGCCCAACAACTCTCTTAAGGAATAACGTCAGAGCAATTCTGAAATCTCCTCATGCATGCATAAATTATAGCTTTTGTTCTCATTTACATGCAATAACCAGTAGATGCTCCTGGAAACTAGCTAGCGAAATATACATTTCTCTCAGCCATTGTAAACATCTATTCACGTTTCTTCCAAAAAAGCATTTTCTTATGAAGCTACATTAGGAGTTGGCATACTCTGTAGCATTTTTTATAAAAAGAAGCTGTTTGAAAATTTGTTGGTAGTCTGCCCCACGTTTGTGGAAAGAATTACCATATTTGTACCTACAGGCAATTTTTCTGTCTGACATATTTTTTTCAAAACAATGATTTCCAAAAATGTAGTTGTGCGTTAGAATACTCGAGGGAGTTTTACAAAAGCTAGACAAACAGCTCTCTAGATCTGGTGAATCAGGATCCCTAGGCTGGGATCAGTAATCTGCATTTTTATCAAGACGTGTGTATTAGTCTGTTCTCACACTGATATTAAGAATACTACTGGAGGCTGGGTACTTATAAAGGAAAGAGGTTTCTTTGACTCACAGTTCTGGAGGCTTAACAGGGAGCGTGGCTAGGAGCCCTCAGGAAACTTACAATCATGCCAGAAGGCAAACGGGAAGCAGGCACCTTCTTCACAAGGTGGCAGGAGGGAGGTGTGAGAGAATGAGGAAGTGCCACACTTTAAAACCTTCATCTCTCATGAGAACTTACTTACTATCACAAGAAAAGCATGGGGGAAACCGCCCCCATGATCCAGTCACCTCCCACCTGCTCCCTCCACTGACATGTGGGGATTATAATTCAGGATGAGATTTGGGTGGGGACACAGAGCCAAACCATATCACTCGGTGACAGTTTACTTACCTGGATCTCGAAAACACTGCTCTGAATCTTTGCATGCCCATTCTGAACATCTTAGATGAATAGATCTTAAACCTGGTCAGTTATCTAAATCATCTTGGGAGATTTTAAAATACTTAATATTTGCAGGTCCCATCCACAAAGTCATGACTATGTAGATCTGAATATGGTCAACCAGAATCTGGAATTTTCGAAGGCATCTCAGATGATGCTTCTCAGAGCTATATTTAGGAATGCCACCTTAAAACATATCAGTAGTAATCTTATCTTTAGCATTCTGCAGGTTTGGAAAAATCCGAATTTGGAAATCATCTGATTTTTTTAATACACAGAGTAAATGAAAGTATTTGACTGCTTAAATGTGAAAATGTAAAAGAGCTCTTATTTACATTTCTTAAAAATAAAGTTATTACACTGTTGTGTTTTTTAAAAAATATGCTAGATTTCCATTGAGATGTTTTGTACATTTTACCTATTACAGATATGTGTATATATACAAATGGAATATCAGAAGTGATTCTCCTTCCTAGTTATCATATTATCCTGTTCAATCCCTGAAAATTTATTAGAATGTTTTATTTATTTGTTTATTATGTCATTCCTTCTTAGAATGTTAACTCCATGGGGATAAGAACTCTATGCTATGTTCAATAGTCCGCTCCTAGGGCCTAGAGCATTGGCTGGTACATGGTTGGTGCTCAGTACACAATTATTGAAAGAACAGATGTATATTATACATGTATATAATATTCATGTGTGGATAGTATATCTAAAACATATATCTATATATGAAATTGACATATTAACCAATTATTCATACACATGCACACATACACAATGCCGGTATAATTTCTTAGCTGCCAACAAAAGCACATTTTATTAATCATGAAATTTCTCTTATACACAAAGGCATTTGAGCCTCTTTCAAATCCCAAATAAAAAGGGAGTTTAGTAGTCAAAAACATAACTTCATTTCTTTCATTTGAGAGGGACCTGGAGGAAGTGATTTGGATTTTCTATTAGCATTTTTTAAGAGGAGTCACACTGCTCCTCAGGTGGTGTGAATCACTCACACTTAATGTACTATGTGAAGAGCAGCTGAATCATCCTGGAATCACAGTGCCTCACGAGGAATGTGTCAACTATTTAGTCTTCATTCACATGATGGAAAGTGTAGTTAACGACACTGTTATATTGTCACACTGCCGAACTTTAGAATCAAGTCACTAAAAATATTTTCTCACTTTGTAAGATAGTGAGGATTCTAAAAGCTTACCTTTAAAAAAAAAATCTTTAAAAGATGAGGTCTTTATGACTGCATCTTTTGTCTCTGGGTAGTAACTTTTCCAATTGAAGAATGTATCTCAGAGGTATTTCCTTAGGGACTTCTTGGTTCCTCAGCCAGGTTATAACACTGCGTGTGCCTCTGCATAAGGAGACTGGCGAAAGTAGGGCATATTAATTATTTTCTTCACTTATACATTCATTCATTACAGAATCTCTACTCCAGTACCTTTTGTATTTTAGGTACTGTGTCAGGTACCCTCTAGGAAGTGAGGGAGGGTGATAATGATGGATGCAGTACAATGTGGTGGGTGCTAGGACAGTGGTATATACAGAGGCCTCTGAGACAAAGATGAAGGGAGGACATCTACAGGCAGTGGTATCAGGGATGGCTACCTGGAGCTGCAGGTACTTGTGCTGAGTCTTGAGGATGAATAACATTTACTCATTCCACACATATTTATTGAGTGCCTTCTTCGGAACTAGGCTTAATTTTGGACATACTGTGGAGAAACAAAACAGACATGGACACTGCCCTCATGGAACTTGCAGCCTGGGAGGGAGCGCAGACAAAAATCAAATAGCCTCCAAGTAAAAATATGTGATAAGTGAGGAAAAAATGCAAAAAGCTGTAAGAGCATTGCAGCTGGATTTTTATTAATTACTCAGGGTAAACATTTCTTTGAAGAAATGGCATTTGAGCTGACATCTTGTTAAGGAGAAGTTAGCTAAGCAAGGACAGAGAGAAGAGAGCATCCCAGATCATAAGAAGAGAGTTCCCTTTATTTTATTCAAAGAACTTTGGTCTAAAAAATGCAAAAATAAAGAAAATGGGGTTTTACATCATTAAGTTTACTGAACATTATGTTAACTTAAAATTTTAGAACTTAGCCAAAAGTACAGATTTGAAAAGTAATACAAAAATAACCTGGAAAATGCCTTTATTCTTTTTAAAATTTTTCCTCTGTTTTGTTTTTAATTTTTAACTTTTATGGGTAGATAGTAGATGTATATATTTATAGGGTACATGAGATATTTTGATAGAGACATGCAATGTGTAATAATCACATCAAGGTAAATGGAGTATCTATCATCTCAAGCATTTATAATTTCTTTGTGTTACAAACATTCCAATAATAGTTTTTTAGTTATTTTAAAATGGATAATAGATTACTGTTGACTGTAATTATTCAGTTGTGCCATCAAATACTAGATCTTATTCATTCTAAGTATATTTTTGTATGCTCTGTGGTTTTATTTATTTTTCAATTCTCAAAGCTGAACAAGGGGTATTTTAGAAATAGTCATCAGAATGTTGTTTGAATTTTTTCAATTATGTAGTCACTTTTGATTTTATGACTTTATTGCTATTGGGTTTTTATTTTTTTAATTTTCACACATCAGCTTATATTTGGCCCAATGCAGCCACAGAACACTGTAAAATACATACAGACTATACCCACTGTAGAATTACGACCTTTCTAACTTTTCACTCTTCAATAAACTTTTCTATTTATTGCCCTCTAGCCATAATAATTCACTCTTTTCAGATTGTATTCTCCTCTGTCTGTCTACATTTTCAGTATATGTCTGTTCTTAGATTACAGTCATGCAATACAGCAGATTCATTAGCTCTCTACTTCTGGTTTTCAGTGACACAAATGCTTTCTCATGTGTAAAGGGACAAAGGCTTTCATTTGGTTTTTAATCTAAGAGCACAATAGATAAATCACAGTTTCTGAATCTATACTCCAAGTCTTCTTTGAGGAACTGACATTTAAACTGAACATCAATGGAATTGGCCATGTAGTAACAAGAGACAGAAGAGCACTCCAAGTGAATAAGGGAGAGACAGACATTTCAGGCAGTGGGAACTGGCATGTACAAAGACTCTGAGGATGGAAACATTATGACTCATTTAAGGAACCATTGTTAGTTGTGAAGGCTATATTGAAGTGTAAATACAGAGAAAAAAGAAACAGAGGTGTTTCAGTATTTGTTTTATTCAGAGGAAGGAAACGAGAGAAAGGAGAATGAGAAATGATTGATGCTTATAGTGAACATTTGTGGCTTTGTCTCTCCAGCATCAGTTCTTGCTTCATCTAGCAACAGCATCCCAGTTTCCATGGGTTCCTCTCTTCCCCTAAGTCCAGCTGGTTTGATAAGAGTTGAATGAACCCCTGGTTCTAAGCCTGCCTACCAATCTGATAATTGTATCTCCTTGGCCAAAACTATTGGTTCAGAGTTTGACTTATTACCCAATTAGGGACAATGACCTCAATTCCAGAAACTTTTCCAACACTGTTGGGAGAATGGAATCTCTCTTTTAAGTAAAATTGGAGCTGGAAGCTTGTAAGGGTAGCATAGCAAAGGCCTAATAGAGAGTAAATCCAATAGGGAGGAATACAGAGATTAAAGATGGTGAGAAAACTGCCAGCATGTAAGATATTGTTTGGCCCTCTAGGCACAATCACATCCTAAGCTATAGGCATTTCAGTGACATGAGCCAAAACATTTGCTTTTAACATAAAGTATGCTTGGGTTGAGTTTCTGTTCTTGCAGTTAAAGTGTCCTACATAATACAAAGTTTAATAGGACAAAGTTTTGTTACCCTAAAACATCAACATTTCTGGAGCTTCTCAGATTAATTTCAGTAGCACACCACAGGTTTCCGTCATCTTAATTTACCAAATTGACAGCTTGTCATTATGTTGAACTTACCTTTTTAAAACAATTATAACAGGAAAATATTCCATTTATCAGCTTTTTAGTTTTTTTTTTTTTCCTAAAGCTAGTAACACATTAAGAGTAAATGCGTATTCTATGTTAAAGTTTTACTTCTATCCCAAAATCATGCATAGTAAACTGTTTCTTGCTTTTTCTAGAAATGTCTTGCTGGAAAAAAAAAATTTGATCTTAAGCCCTTGGCTGGCCAATGATAGATGTTTTATTTTTAGGATTATCTTTTTTGTTTATTCTACAACAAATGTTATGCCCTTCAACTGATATTCGAGAATGTTAAGCAATTTTTGCATCTTTCTAAAGCCAGTAAAGATTTAGCTTCCTCAAATGATTGCCTAGAGCCTACAGAATCTCCCTTAAGTCTTACAGGACGTTTGATCTGCCAATTCAAATAGTTTTTTCAGTAATTTTTTTTTTATTTTATTGATCTGATAAACTGACTGAAACAGAAACTGAGGTACTAATGTCATAAAAAATGAGAAGGTTTAGTGAAGCAAAGCCTACACTTAGAGTTAATGACATATTTATAGAGATAAAAAGAGCTGCTGTATTACATTGAAGATTTAAATTTTAAAAATTCCAATGTTAAAAAACAAACATTTTAATATATTCACAATCTTAATCCAAATACACAAATAATATTTCCCCCAATTCCACATACAGTTGGAGATATGTTAAGGAGCACCCTCAACCCCAATTATATGTGGATATTTTAAAGCCACAATAGATCTACTAAGTTTGAGGTAATGAGAGCTGATTTGAGTAGAAGGCATGCAAAAATGGCATGGTGAAAAGGAACACTCATCCACAAAAACCACCCTGTTGAGAAGATACAGGCTTCTGTTTCTTAAAGAGACATTTGGGCAAATGGTCAAGTAAACAGACTAGAACCAGGCTTTGAAAATGATGAGAAAATTGTGCCTGTTGATGGGGAAAAATGTGAGAGAGGTAGAGAATAAGCATAGAGTATTTATTAAGAGACTTGGCTTAGCTGACAGTCAAATGCAAATTAAAATTTGAACCCACAACTTACTAACAGAGTGGTCTTGGTCAAGTGAATTCACTTTTCTAATTGCATTTTAATTTTTAATTTTTTTTTTTTTTTGAGGCGGAGTCTTGCTCTGTTGTCCAGGCCGGAGTGCAGTGGCAGGATTTCGGCTCACTGCAAGCTCCGCCTCCCAGATTCAAGCCATTCTCCTGCCTCACCCTCCCGAGTAGCTGGGGTTACAGGCACCTGCCACCATGCCCAGCAAATTTTTTGTATTTTTAGTAGAGACGGGGTTTCACTGTGTTAGCCAGGATGTTCTCCATCTCCTGACCTCGTGATCTGTCCGCCTCAGCCTCTCAAAGTGCTGGGATTACAGGCGTGAGCCACCACGCCCGGCTGGCACCCAGCAATTTTTAATTTTTATGGATTCATAATTGTACATATTTAGGGGATGTATGCAATATTTTAATACAAGCACATAGTGTTTAATGATCAAATCAGAATAATAAGGAAGTCCATCACCTTAAGCATTTATTATTTACTCATTAGGAACATTCCAATTACATTTAGTTATATTAAAATATATAACATTATTGTTAACTATAGTTGCCTTATTGTGCTACTGAACATTATATCTTATTTCTTTTATCTAACTGTATTTTTGTACCCATTAACCAGCCCATATTTAATCCCCCTGACCCACCATCCTTCCCAGCCTCTGGGAACCATTATTCTACTCTCTACCTCCATGAGATTAACATTTTAGCTCCCACATATGAATGAGACATGCAGTATTTGTCATTCTGTGCCTAGCTTATTTCATGAAATACAACTTCCAGTTCCATCCATGTTGTTATATATGGTGGGATTTTATTTTTTAATTGCTGAATAATATGCCATTGTCTATATATACACCACGTTTTCTTTATTCATTCATCTGTTGATGGACACTTCCATATCCTGGCTATTGTGAATAGTGCTGCAATAAACGTGGAAGTGCAGATATTTCTTCAATATAGTGAATTCCTTTTTTCTGAGGGGGGGTGGGTACACAGACAATAGTGGAATTGCTGGATCATATGTTAGTTCTATTGTTAGTTTTTTGAGGGACCTCCAAACTGTTCTTCATAGTGGATGTAGTAATTTATATTCCCACCAAAGTGTACAAAGTTTCTTCTTTCTGTGTCTCCTTACCAGCATTTGTTATTGCCTTTTTTGTGAAAGCCATTTTAACTGATGTCTCACTGCAATTTTGATTTGAATTTCTCTGATGATTAGCCATGTTGAGCATGTTTTCGTATACATGTTGGCCATTTGTATGTCTTCTTTTGAAAAATGTCTATTCAGATCTTTTGCCCATTTTTAAATCAGATATATTTTGCTATTGAGTTGATCGAACTTCTTATATGTTCTGGTTATTAATCACTTGTCAGAGGGTCAGTTTGCAAATATTTTTTCTCATTCTGTGGGTTATCTTTTCATTTTGTTATTGTTTTCTTTGCTGTGCGGAAGCTTTTTAGCTTGATGTGATCTCATTTGTCCATTTTTATTTTGTTGCCTGTGCTTTTGGGGTCTTAAGAAATCTTTGCTCAAATCAATGTCTTAGAGCATTTCGTTAATATTTTCTTCCAGTAGTTTGATAGTTTCAAATATTAAATTTAAATATTCGATCCATTTTTATTTGACTTTTTCTATATGTTGAGGCATGGGGTTTAATTTCATTCTTCTGCCTGTGGATAACCAGTTTCCTCAGCACCATTTATTGAAGAGACTGTCCTTTCACCAAAGTATGCTCTTGACAGCTTTGTCAAAAATGAGTTGACTATAAATGTGCAGTTTTATTTCTGGGTTCTCTATTCGGTTCCATTGGTCTATGTGTCTGCTTTTATACCAATACCATACTGTTTTGGTTACTATAGCTTTGCAATATAATTTGAAGTTAGACAAAGTGATGCTTTCAGCTCTGTTCTTTTTGCTTAGGATTGCTTTGGCTATTTGGGGTCTTTTGTGGTTCCATATAAATTTTGAGGTTTTTCTTTCTATTTCTGTGAAAAATTAATAGACTTCACTTTTAACTTGAATAAGTAACTCTTGGGGAATCTCAGTTATCTCATCATGGCAAGTGGCTTGATATGGATGTCAGTTTCTTTACATATATAAAAAATAGATGATATCAACATTATTGAACTGTTGAGAAATTTAATGAGACCATTTATATAAAGCTGTTGGTAGAGTGTCTGATATTTAATAAGAACTCAGCAAATGTTAAATATTATAATAATTATGATTATGATGGTGGCAGCAAATTATTATTTGGGATTCTGGAAGTTAAGAGGATCTGAGAAGACCATATTATTCAGCAAAACAAAACAAAAACAGCAACAACAAAAAACTAGCACTAGCTTGAGGACAGACACTTAGTCTTAGAAGGACATTATGTTTCTCAAATAATATTCTGCTGTCTGCAAAGTAGGAATCACACAAAGATAGTAGGTCAATAAGGGTGGATTGTGAGAGGGATAGAGAGAGATATTGAAAGTGTCTAGCCTATTCTGCCCCATGCCCTCAGCACTCCGCAGATTTCAGGGCTTGTATAAAGCTCAATTTTATTCCGATACACAAGGGCTAATGGAGTTGGGATTACTTTGACACTTTTCATCTGGTTCAACATTATCAAATGAGGACATCCAAGAGCTTCAAATCAGACCATTAGTAGATCCAGCTGTGTGAATTAGAAAGGCCAAAGGCAGGGATATGAAACTACACAATCCATGCCAAGCTCTTGGCACAATGCCCCACAAATACTACTTGTAATTGTGGTGATTTCCTCCTTGACACTTTCTACTCTTGACTTACCTGATAACTAGGGTTGCCAGATTTAGCAAATAAATAATACAAGGTGCTCAGTTACATTTGCTTACCAGAGAAGCTATGACTAATTTTCAATATAGGTATTTCCCAAATGTTGCATATATTTAATAACCTCAGTGATAACCCACTTTCCTGGATTTCCTTTTTTCCCTTGCTACACATTCTGAGTCTTCTCCGGTGGTTCCTCCTCCTCATGAACTACACTGACCTCATATCCCATGTGTCAAACTTCTTCCTACCCTGTAAACTTAGCATATGTTATTGTCTTTGTCTGGAAAAAAAAACATTCTACCACTGTTAGCCTGGCCGCATTAGGCTCATCCTTTAAGTCTGGACATACTCATATTATCCTCACATTAAGTTAAATTCTTTATCATATAGTTTCACAGCACAATTTGCAGCACATATTACATTTACATTTGTTGAGTGCTGATTGCTAATTTTCAGCTAAACTCCATGGGGCAAGAACTGTGTTTGACTTAATATCTACTGAGTCTCCTGCACTTGGGACAGTAAACCTAATTAATAAACATGTAGAATGCAGCAGGAATAACTTTTGTTACTATGATTACTAACAAGCACTAGCATTTTGCCCTGCATTTTTCCAATATATTTCAAAGACACTGAAAAGTACACTTCTATTACATACTAATGAGATGTTAGTCAACAACAAGTTTTCATTGAGTATTGGTCATTCCTGTTTTCTAATATAATAATACAAATTTACTGAGCACCTGTAATGTCCCAGGTGCTGTGGGAAGTGCTTACAATACTCAGTTGTATCCACAGTCAATCATAATAAGATCAATTGTAATTCACAGAACATTAATTCACAGAATAATAATTCACAGAACATTAATTAATAATCTAGAATAATTAATAATCAGCTATTAACTTAATATTTGTCAGGATACTGATATTTGAAAAAAATTACTTATAAACCAAGGACAATACTCAATATGGGCAGGACAACTCAAGAAATCAAGCACTAAAGAGAAAGTTTTTGGTGAGTAAAGGGAGTTAGTGGCAGCATAAAGAAATAATGTCACAAGCTGCAAGAATTTGATTCTTTCTTTTCCAATATTTAGAGGTCATTTCTGTCTAGATGATGAATATTACACTTATTAGACTCAAATAACATAGTCTCTTATTGACTGTCAATTTCTACATAATATCTTATCATCTTTGTTTTACTAAGCCATTAAAAAATGACTGTCATAACTCATCCCACCAGAAATATTATAATTTTCTAAATATTGTCATTTCTTCAATTATAAATATTTTTAAATGATGTTCTATGTTGAAAACCCACAGAAGTCTTATCAATAACATAGTTACAAATTATTTCTTTGTTGTGAATAGCTTCCATATGATGAGTAATTTCACTCTTGTTAGGTATATTTTTATTCAGTTTCTGCAAATGATATTATCTACATTTGTTTTAAATGCTTGGTATCTACCCTTTCTGAGGACTGCAACTTCCTGTTCCCATATTACAAGGTGTTTTAAATTATTCAGAGACAAGAGAAAATGTTAAACAAAAATATTGTCAAGATTTGGCTATAGTTACTAGACTATATTAATACAAGTTTCTACAATAAAATCAAAGTTGGATACAACCACATTTTTATATCATTTATCAAATTTTAATACATGTTTAATAGAAGTTTAACGTGCTTGCAGACATACTTTGCTTTATTGCGCTTTTTTCTTGTGCTTCAAATATATTGTGCTTTATAGAAATTGATGGTTTGTGGCAACCCTGTGTCAAACAAGTCTTTTGGAGTCATTTGTCCAATAGTGTCTGCTCACTTGGTGCCTCTGTGTCACATTTTGATAATTCTCACAATTTATTTATTTATTTATTTGTTTATTTTGAGACAGAGTCTTGCTCTGTCACCAGGCTAGAGTGCAGTGGCGCAATCTCGGCTCACTGCAACCTCCGCCTCCCGGGTTCAAGTGATTCTCCTGCCTCAGCCTCCCGAGTATCTGGGATTACATGCTCACGCCACCATGTCCAGTTAATTTTTGTATTTTTAGTAGATACGGGGTTTCATCATGTTGGCCAGGATGGTCTCAATCTCTTGACTTTGTGATCTGTCTGCCTCGGCCTCCAAAGCACTGGGATTACAGGCGTGAGCCAATTCTCGCAATATTTTAAACTTTTTCAGTTTTATAATACAAATTATGGTGTTCTGTGATCAGGGATTTTGATATGACTATTGAAATTATTTTGAGGGTACCACAAACCACATGAGTATAAGAAGATGGACTTAATCAATAAATGCGTGTGTTCTGACTGATTCACCAACTGGTTGTTTTCTCATCGCTCTCTCTCTCTTCAAGCCTTACTATTCTCTGAGACACAACAATATTGAAATTAGTCCTGTTAATAACCCTACAGTGGGCTCTAAATGTTCAAGTGAAAGAAGGAGTTGCAAGTCTCTCACTTCAAATAAAAATCTAGAAATTATTTAGTTTAGCGAGGAAGGTACATCAGAAGCTGAAATAGACCAAAAAGCTAGGCCTCTTGGGCCAAATAGTTAACCAAGTTGTGCATGCAAGGAAAAGTTCTTGACAGAAATTAAAAGTGCTACTCCAGTGAACACACAAATGATAAGAAAGTGAAATAGCCTCAATCCTGATATTCAGAAGGTTTTAGTGGTCTGGATGGAAGATCAAACTGGCCACAGCAGTTCCTCAAGTCAAAACCTAATCCAGAGCAAGGCCCTATCTCTCTTCAATTCTGTGAAGGCTAAGAGAGACAAGGAAGCTGCACAATTAAAGCTGGAAGCTAACAGAGGTTGGTTCATGAAGTTTAAGGAAAGAAGACATCTCCACCCCGTAAAAATACCATGGTCAGAAACAAGTGCTAATGTAGAAACCTCAGCAAGTTATCCAGAAGATCTAGCTGAGATACCTGAAGGTGACTATATGTCTGGAGTTGGTTCCTTCCAGTGGATTTGTGGTCTTGCTGACTTCAAGAATGAAGCCGCAGAACTTCACAGTGTAACAGCTCTTAAAGATGGCACAGACTCAAAGAGTGGGCAGTAGCAAGATTTATTGTGAAGAGTGAAAGAACAAAGCTTCCACAGTGTGGAAGGGAACCCGAGTGCATTGCCACTGCTGGCTGGGGTGGCCAGCTTTTATTCCCTTATTTGTCCCCATCCATGTCGTGCTGGTTGGTCCATTTTACAGAGTGCTGATTGGTCCATTTTACAAACCTCTAGCTAGCCACAGAGTGGTGACTGGTGCATTTTGCAATCCTAGCTAGAGTGCTGATTGGTGCATTTTACAATCCTCCTGTAAGACAGAAAAGTTCTCCAAGTCCCCACCTAACCCAGAAGTTCAGCTGGCTTCACCTCTCAACTATACAAAACAACAGATTTTCAATGTGGATGAAAGAGTCTTATATTGAAAAAAAGATGTCATTTAGGACTTTAATAGCTAGAGAGGAGAAGTCAATGTCTGGCTTCAAAGCTTCAAAACACAGGCTGACTTTCTTGTTAGCAGCTAATGCAGCTTGTTACTTTAAGTGGAAACCAGTGCCTATTTACCATTCCAAAAGTTATAGGGCCCTTAAGCTTTATGCTAAATCTACTCTGCTTCTGCTCTATACATGGAATGACAAAGCCTGGATGACAGCCCTTTTATGTTTACAGCATGGTTTAGTGAACATTATAAGCCTACTGTTAAGAACTGCTGTTCAGAAAAAAAGATTTATTTCAAAACATTACTACTCTTTGGCAAGGCATCTGGTCACTCGGTAGCTCTGAGGGAAATGTGCATGAAGATTAATATTGTTTTCATGCCTCCCAGCACAACATCCATTCTGCAGCCTATAGACCAAGGAGTAATTTAGACTTCGAAGTCTTATTATTTAAGAAATCTTTTTCATAAGGCTAGAGCTACCATAGACAGTGATTCCTCTTATGAATTTAGGTAAAGTAAATTGAAACGCTTCTGGAAAGAATCCACTATTCTGCATGCCATTAAGAAAATTCATGATTCATGTGAGGGTGTGAAAATATCAACATTAACAAGAGTTTGGCAGAAGTAAATTCTAACCTTCCTGGATGACTATGAGGGGTTCAAAATTTCAGTGGAGGAAGTCACTGCAGATGTGGCAAAAATAGCAAGAAGACTAGAATTAGAAGTGGAGCTTGAAGATGTGACTGAATTGCTGCAATCTCATGATAAAACTTTAATAGATGAGCAGTTGCTTCTTATGAATGAACGAAAAAAGAAAGTTTTTTTTTTTTTTTTTTTTTTGAGATAGAATATACTCCTGGTGAAGATGCTGTGAACATTGTTCAAATGATAACAAAAGATTTGGAATACTACATAGGCTTAGTCGATAAAACAGCAGCAGGGTTTGAGAGAAGTAAATTCAATTTTGAAAGATGTTCAAGTGTGGGTAAAATGCTACCAAACAGCATGATACAGAGAAAACTTTCATGGAAAGGAGAGTAAATTAATGTGGCAAACTTCACTGTTGTCTTATTTCAACCCATTTCCACAGCCACCCCAACATTCAGCAACCACCACTTGATTAGTCAGCAGCCATCAACATCAAGGCAAGATGTTCCACCACAAAAATGTGACTCGCTGAAGGCTCAGGTAATCATTAGCATGTGTAGTAATAAAGTATGTTTAATTAAGGTACATTTTTACACATAATGATATTGTACACTTAATAGATTATAGTACAGTCTAATCATAATTTATATGCACTGGGAAACCAAAAAATTTGTGTGACTTGCTTTATGGCAAATTGGTTTTATCATGGTAGTCTGGAGCCAAACCCACAATATATCTGTGGTATGCCTGTATGTAAAAATGTACAGATCTAAAGTGTTCAACTTTTTGAATTATCACAGCCTGATCATACCTTTGTAACCCACCGCATAGATCAAAAGTAGACTATTTCCAGCATACCAAAAGCTAGTCTCTGGCTTCTATATCACTATCTTCATTCTACTCACCAAAGATACAAGGTGTTCTTAGTTTCAACATCTTAATTTAAATAAGTTGGCTTATATAAAATAGTTACCATTATATGTAGAAATGAAATTATACAGAATATGTTTTTGTGTCCAGTTTTATTAGCTTGTGTTGTTTTTTCAATCTCTTGTAGAAAGATGAACAGTGTATTTATCATCTCAGCTTCTTAGCTACAAGTTTTTCATCACATTCTCAGATGATGCTTTGGAATTTATGTATCCACAGTGGAAAAGTGGCACTGGATGTAGGGCTCATTTTTCTTTGTGCTTTCTTTCTCTACATGATCTTGGCCCGCAAATCTTCACTGCCTTGACGTATCTCCAGTGTCTTCAAACATAAATCTTTTTTATATTTTGGGCAGCTTTTCTAGTTGTTCTCAGTGTACATGTTGATCAGCAACAAGCTAATTCTTTATCAATATGAGTATAAATCAAGTGAAGCAATTTTCTTGTTGTAGAATTGTTCTTTCAGTTTTACTGGCTAATTTTATGGTACAAAAGTTTAATTGTCTTGCTTCTTATCCTGTAGAAGCTCCTTTTCATAGAGACTTATCTCTTCTTCTCAAGCATCCACCTACCATACCCTCATCGTTTCCCACAGGACAAGTACTACTTTCTTCAACACAAAGATTTCCTCTTGGCGTCTATCTTGCATCCATAATGCACTCTGTAATCTTGAGTGACATGTCATACTTCTACCAGGTACTTGCTCATCAGCATCTCTACACTGTTCAGAATGGGTAAGGGAAAGAAAGGAAATATTGTTTTTATCTTCAAGAGTAAGGATGAATAGCCATTATCTGTTCTATTTGAAGTTCCCAAAAGGTAAAGTCTACGGATTTGCTGCATCCTTCAATACTTGAGTTACTAAGTAGCATGTATCTCCAAAAAGTTTTTATCTGAAGCAAAACAATGTTTCCTGCATAAATCTCATTTTCCCTATTACTAGGGTTCTGGTTCTGACTTTCAAGCCTCATGGCTCTCTGTGGCAAACTGAGAAGCTGCGCATTCTCTGTTTGCCCAGGGTGTGTCAGTGACATAAAATGTCAAACATTCTTTAAATCCTAGTCTATTTTCTACTTTGGGAATGGTGGCTCCAATGACTTTGCTCTATTTAGTGCCTCTCTGATGTAAATGGAGTGTGTGTGTTGTTTGTGTGTGTGTGTGTGTGTGTGTGTGTGTGTGTGTGTGTGTACCAATTCCTCTTACCATGCACTGTGGCTTTATTCTTACATTGCTCTCTATTATTCCCCCTTAAATTGGTCAATTATAAAACTGTATTCATTTTCTCCTGGAGATATGGTAACAGCTGTACGCCTGCTCCTTTATAGTCTTTCTGTTGACCCTCTCATTATCTCTCCCTGAGATTATTACAGTCCCTGATGAAGAATCTCATTCTATTTCTTCCTGTTTTCTGATTGCTTCCACTGTTTGTTCCATGTAACGCAGCCTTCCTACAACATAGCTCCGATACCATTAAGCTGTTAAAATTTGTCACTATCCCCTCACTGTCAAACAAATAAAATTAAAATTACTTAGTCTGTGATCTTATATGGGGCTCATTACAGTACAAAAAATCAAATCTCACCTACCTTAAGTTATTAAAATATATTGATAGGAAGTGGTGGCAGATGCCTATTGCTCCTTGGTCACCGGCATATACTTCTCTTCTACAACCCTATTTCCTGTTTTGTTTTGGAAAATTATATTTCTCTTATTATATGTTGCCTTATTGTAGACTGCATACCAAAACACCCTGCCCTACTCTGGCCAAAGGGCAAGTAACAACCCTCTTGACTAGTACATGATCTAGTTAGTCAAATTAGGCTCCCTTTCAACCCTTTCAGGACTTTGAGTCTTGATTAGAGAGATAGGAGATAGATCAGATAGATCCCTGTAACTCTAGCAGCAGCACCCAATCAGAATGGTCAATATCTTCAGCAGTTTAGTTACTCCAAACTGCCTTGGCTTTTGTTCTCATTTCATCTCTTGTTTCTTTCCTGAAATGAGACATTCAGTCATTAACTAAGCTACCTAGTTTATCTCCAATCTTTTCAAGTTTTGCTTAGCTTATCCAAAATATTTCTTCGTGTTTTTGCAATCAATATAAACTGATAGAAGAGGAATAGGGAGAACTGAGGCATAGCAAGAGCAGAGCATACAGAGAAGATTTGGTGGACCACAACTAGAATTACTATATGGGTAAGAAACAGGGCAAGTTTTCCTTCTGTCTGTCTCTCTTTCTGGGATCACATGGTCTTTTCTCTGTTTCTACCTAATTTTCTCCTCTCTATCCACATTGGCTTTTTCTGATTCAAATAAATCTGCCCTCAGATTATCTGCTTCAACCCTTACTCAAAGTGCTGTCCAAATCGAAAAGCTCATACAGACCATCTTGAATCTTTGTTTGTAACAAATACGAATTTCTAAAAGAAAATATGTGATTGTCCTGGATTTGATCTTGTGCCCAATCTGGTTAAACCAGGTGTGGCCAATGTTGTGTATAATATAAACCATGCTTCTCTGGATTAAGTATGTTCTCCAAGAAGGGAATGTTGGGGTTGGGGGAAAAGTTGATATCTCTAGTGTATTTTAATTATATGGTCTTCTGTTCAGTCCTTTGTGCTTTGGTTCCGATTCGTGTGTGAACTATCTATGTGCCTTTCTATTTCTGTGTCATATTGACTCAATGCCTATTGAATTAAAAATTGTGACTATTCTTGAAGGACTTCTTCAAATGTTTCCTGATCCACAGAGTCATTCCTTTTTGTTCTTAACATTACAGTCTTACCTGAAAATAGCCACTCTTTATTCTAAAATTCCATGGAAGATAGTATTTAATTTATGACAGAAATTATTAATACATCTTAACTGTATTAAAATTATTATACATGCTTAATGAACATTATTATCTTGAAAGCCACATGAAGGCAGAAAATTTGTCTCATTTATTCTGTCTACTATAGTGTATTTTAATTAATATACTGGGATACATATTTGCTCAGTAAAAAAATAAAATTTTTAGGAATATAATTATTTTTAAAGAAATAGGGTCTCACTCTGTGGTCCAGGTTGGAGTACAGTGGTGCCTGATATCATAGCTCACTGCAGCCTTGAATTTCTGGGCTCAAGCAATCCTCCTGTCTCAGCCTCCGAAAGAGCTGGGACTACAGACTTGTGCCATCATGTCTGGAAGTGAATACAATCTTGAGTGAAATCTTTTTATGTTCTATGAATAAGGATTTCTGGTCAACACATCAATATTGACAATTTCTTTAGGAATTGAGCTGTCTTAAGGGTACTTAGATAGTTCAAATGGCTTCATTACATTTTTATAATACTCTAAAGCATCAGAAAACAGATGCTTAACATTTGTCATTATGAAAGTTAAGAATAGAAAAATGGTTGGTGTAACATCAAATAACTTGCTGGATGGACCTTCAGTCATAAAAGTCCACTTTTCTCACTAACCTATCTAGGAATTCCCACATAGGCTTGCTGTTGATGCCACTTGGACTTGTATCTTGGGTTAAAAAAAGAATTTGAAAGTTACTACGTTTTAGTTGAATTAGCTACATATATGCAATTTTCCACATTTTTTTCATATGCTAAATTACTACAAAATTGAGGTTATAGAGTTTCAGTTATATGATATGGTTAAAATACCAACATTTCATGAGATTTAGGAGAAACATCTTTAAATAAATTTATGATATTTTACATAAAACTAAATGCAAAACTGAAAAAATCTAGCAGTTTATGCATCATTACAAAGATTAATTAATTACTCATGTAGGAGAGAAACAACAACACATGATATATGAGGGTATATGCATTCCCTGCTACAGCCAGAGGGTGCAGTGATTGTTGATCTGTGACTGCTTAGATAATGCTGTCTGTTTAAAGGTCTCCAAATTTTACAAACAAAATCGCCACTCTCCTTCAAACAGGAAATGCGTTACCTTCCACAGTAATTTAACCTCTATGTTTACTCATCTTGAAAATGATAATGTCATAATTAACATGACTACTGTGTGAGACAATGGATATTTTCTTCCTTGCTTTTGAAGATGTTTTCTATAAAGCAGCATGAGCTCTTCCGAGAAAGCTGTGGTGTAATGAGCATTTTTTTTAAATTAGAAGTCATAGTGAGAGGCTAGTTAGCTGGAGAGCAGGCCATATAGGACTCAGATCGTAGGCTACAGTCCTATGTGATCAGATACATCTAGTTCTGTAAGTCTTGACCTATTCTCCAACCTCAGAAACCCTTTTTAAAAGTGATTGTCCACACCTATAGTGAACTCATTTTCCACAAAGATGACAGGAACATCCACTGGGGAAAAATCAGTCTCTTCAATAAATGGTGCTGGGAAAACTGGATATACATATGCAGAAGAATGAAACTAGACCCCATGTTTCACCATATATAAAAATTAAATAAAAATGGGTTACAGACTTAAATCTAAGACCTCAAACTATGAAACTACTACAAGAACACATTAGGGAAAATCTCTAAGACATTGGTCTGGGCAAACATTTCTTGAGCAATACATCGTGAGCACAGGCAACCAAAACAAAAATGGACAAATGACATTACATCAAGTCAAAAGGCTTCTGCACAGCAAAGGATACAATCAACAAAGTGAAGAGACAACCCACAGAATGAGACAAAATATTTGCAAGCTACCAATCTGACAAAAGATTAAGAACCAGAATATGTAAGGAGCTAAAACAACTCTACAGGCAAAAAATCTAATGATCCAATCAAAAATAGGCAAAAAATTTGAATATGACGTTTCTGAAAAGAAGGCAGACAAAAGACAAACAGGTATATGAAAAGGTGCTTAACATTACTAATTGTCAAGTAATGCAAATCAAAACTATAATGAGATATCTCAGTCCTGTTAAAATGACTTAGATCCAATAGACAGGCGATGACAAATGCTGGCGAGGATGTGGAGAAAAGAAAGCCATTGTATGCTGTTGGTGGGAATGTATTAATAAATTAGTACAACCACTATGGAGAAGAGTTTGGAGGTTCCTAAAAAAAACTAAAAATTGAGCTACCATATGATCCAGCAACCCCACTGCTGGGTATATACCTAAAATAAAGGAAATCAGTATATCAAAGAGATATCTGCATTCCTGTGTTTGTGCAGCACTGCTGGCAATAGCTGTGATTCAGAAGCAACCTATGTGTCCATCAGGAGACAAATGAATAAAGAAAATGTGCTGCATATAAACAATGAGGTACTGTTTGGCCATAAAAAAAAAGAGAGATCCAGTCATTTGCAACAAGATGGATGAAACTGGAGATCATTATGTTAAGTGAAATAAGCCAGATACAGAAAGACAACCATCTCATATTCTCACTTATTTGTGGGATCTAAAAATGAAAACAATTGAACTTATGAACATAGACGTAGGCAGATTGGAGAAGGTAGTCGGGGGCTGGAAGGGTGATACGAATGGGTAATGGGTACAAAACATAGTCAGGATGAATAAGGCCTACTGTTTGATCACACAGGAGGGTGACTATAGTCAATAATGACTTAACTGTGCATTTTAAAGTAACTTAAAGAGTGTAATTGGATTATTTGTAACTCAAAGGATAAATGCTTGAGGGGATGGATACCCCATTTTCCACAATGTGTTCATTTCATATTGCAAGCCTGTATCAAAACATTTCATGTATGCCATAAATACATACATCTACTATGTAACCACAAAAATAAAAAATAAGAATAAATAAATTATTATCATTGATCAGAAAGAGTGAGAAATGGCAGTTTTTAAAAAGAGATACTATAAGAAAATTCTTTTAATTACCCTCTATTTTGTCTGCCTTAGCTCTTTGTTTTGTCACATTGCAGAGCTATGCTTATAGAAATCAGGTTTAAATACATTGCTTACACTTAAAATAATATAAAAACTCAAAACTACAACTAAATATTGACGATGCATTTGACTGAGATTTCTTTCCATCTGGGAATTTGAGGCTCTTTATACTATGCCCTTATGGTAGGGCAGGATCCCAGTGGAATATACCTCTTTGTTATGCATATATAAACCTGAATTTTGCTTTTTTAAAAGCAAAATATAAAAGCAAAATTCACAGATTAAATTTGTGAAGAAAACAGATCTACTTCCGCTTGTTAAATTACTGTTCTAGAGAATGGATCAGCGTAAACAATCTTAGGTTTTATTGTAGACTAGAGCTAATCTAATTGATACTGATAGAGAGTGTGGTACGTTTGTCAAGAGTGACTTTGGGGTCAGCCAGCCTGGGTGTGACTTTCTGTTTTACTTACTTGACACATTATCAAAGCTTCCAATGTAATTCTTTGCAAGATGAAGGTTTAGTGGGTACCTATTGTTTTGGTCAGCACAGCATGCATTCAGCTCCCTTCTAATAACAGCTTCCTGGGCTTCTTTTGGGAGCTAGCCTTCCCTTAGATTCAATGTTTACATTTCAGTTGGTGCTGAACCTGCTCTGTGAATTCAGAGGTAAGCACATGACTTAGGCATAGTCAAAGAGTATGAGTGAACAATAGTGCTAAGATTTTAGGTGAAATTACTAGAAAATCTAATGGGATGGCAAGTCTGGAAGGATGTTTAAATATTTTTAAACAAATGTGCTTCCAACTAAAGTCAGCACAATGGAAAACAATTACTGGAGAGAATGAGAGAACCAATAAAATGTTATGTGGGCACCTGAATTTTGCTCTGCTTAAAGTCAGATGACTCCTTTATGACTTCAATTTTAGAAACAAATGAATATTGTTTATTTTGAAAAAAGAGTGTTGAATAATAAAAAGTAAAATTAGAATGTTTATAATCTTGTAGGAATTTTATGATTATAGAGTATTCGCTATAGTACCCACTAACTGTTTGATGACATTTGTTTGTGTGAACACCTATCTTGGTCAATCTAGATCAATGACTGAGTCTTACCAACAGTACTTATCTGAAGATTGAGGGAGGCAACCATGATAAACTTTTACAGAATTTCTTCTTAGCAATAACAAGCAACTTTTAGAAACAGAACACATAATTTTCAAAAAATTAGGACATATCCTTCCATGAAACTTTACTGGAATGCATTTATAGAGCATGGTCCATGTGTCAGATATATTTTCTTGTTCTCAGATATTTTTCCTCTTCCTAGCTAAAGCCAGAATCTCACTTTACAATATTAGTGCCAAGACTCTGTAGGACAAACAGCCTAAGAGTAAAAACAATAGTAACACATGTAAATAATACATAGAAAACATGGATTATACTAGAACTAGAGACACTCTTGAGTCATGTCTGGCTAAAGATTTTCACTAGTATCTTTGGAAGAAATAACAAAAATATATCTAATTCCATTATTTGAGTACAATCAATCTTAATTTTTTATAACCTCCATCATTTCTAGAAACTTCTGCATTTAGAGTACCTTTTATGATATGCAGATCTTGGCCAAAAGGCACAGATTCTATTATACCATTTCATCCAATATTCTGGTGCCCAGAATGGGCACATCGTGGAGAATGTTACCTTAAAAAGCTCAGCCATCTGGAGCTCTTAAACATCTGCAGACATATCTGCATGTAGAAAGTGTATGGACTTCTCAGCATCTATCCCGACATTCCCATGCAATACTCTTTTACCGTGGAGAATTCAACTTCACAAATGGCATTAAAAATTGCATCTTTGAGAGTCTTATAATAGCGCTGTTAACATATTAGCAATCTGTTAGCAGTCTGGACTGCCATGAGCAAGAACCCACGCACAGTATGAGCCATCGTTTATTTTTGGTCACACCAAGAAAGTACAACATTTATTTTAATAAACTAAGACACAAAAATCCCCAGCAGGTTGAGATACACCAAATGGGATATTGATAGACGACAAAATGTTGTTGACTCTTTATAAGGACAGAGGACAGACTGGGAGCTTGCAGCTTGTTTTTAACTCTTGTAAAAATAGGCGAGCCATTCTCTTGGTCACTCTAGGAAGAAATCTCAATTACTGTGTTAGTTTTCTTCTCAAGTGGTGATTGGTTGATGCCATTATTTACAATCCACGAGGATTGTTTTTCAAAGAGATATTCTGTTGGAAACATGAAACAGTGTGCTCTTAGCCTGCTGTACTGAGTTATTTTTATTCCCCTTTGGGAATAGTGAAGTATGATTCTGCACATACAGTACATGATTATGGCAAGACATTTTTAAATGGGAAACTATTGAGCATGAATGTGTAGGTACCAGGGTGAAAATTGGGCAGTGCCTGTAGAATGTAATTCATAATACCTATCTCTGGTGGTTGATATTCTGAAAAGGAGAAGCTTATAATAATCTTATTATACATAATGCATGTATACTAAGGAAATAACTTTTATGTTTATTTTTTGAATTTGGTCTTTCCCTTGAAGTCAGAAGAGGAAAATTACTGGCTTGAAACTCAGAGGCTGAAGAAAAGAAAATAGAAATAGGGCTTTGGTGAGGAACCATAGGCCTGGTGTGCAGTGCACAGACTGTACTTGCATAAGAATTACATATTTTGAGCAGGTTTTTCCAAGCCCCCAAAATGAAGGAATTTCCGCAGGAGAATGGCCATCCCAGGTGGGAAGCAATTTTAAACATAGTTGCTTCCTCACTAGAAAGTTGGGAGCAGAGTAAGAGACATCGTTAGTACAATAACGTACTGTGCAAGATGAAAACTGCATCAGCAGAGAGATCCTATGATGTTTATGTGGGACGAATCATTTATCTGTTTTCTTTTCACTTAGAGTAGAAGTAGTCACATACTTTTCTTTTTTTCCTTCTGAAAAGCTTCTTTTTTTCAGAAACTCATAAACCATTGCCCACAACCATACCTGGCTGTTTTCTCAAGAGTGAGCTCTTAATCTCATTCTCTTTGGTTGTTGAAAAATTGGGTGAACTCACCTGGTTAAGATGAGTTCTGAGGAGATACGACAGGCAGTGGAAGTATTTGTTACCTACAATGGCACATTGATGGAGCCCAAGGAAAAGCCCAGTTGCATAGATTATGAGGGCCAGGATTCAAAATATTATACGCATAAGTTTGCAAAACAAGTTGCAGGCATTTGGAACTGGAGTACTGAGCTTGGCAATTTCAAGAGTGGGTTGAAAAGGTGAGTTGATGTGGAACTTCTGGCATCCAGACTTTTTCAGGAAGCTGTTGTATGGAAGAGATACATTCACTTAAAAGGTCTGAGGACATTTACTCCATATAACAGTATTAGAAATGCAGCTGTGAGTAAAACACTATGCTGGCTCTCATGAGGCTTACAGCCTCATACCAGTTTTTATCAGCAAGATATTGCTTTTCTCGGGAAATGATTTGGCTTTTAAATTGTTTTCAGTGGATTGTATGTCAGGCTATGTGTTTGTTTTAAATAAGCCAATCTACAATAATCTGCAGTAAAAAAAACTTTATTTTTATCTTTTCCCAGTTCATCATGAAAATGAAATGTGCTGATCAAACATTTCATCAGGCAATGTATAGATTTTTGGGTTGTACAAAGTGATTAATATTCTGGAACTATGTTTAATCTTCTGGAGATAAACTAAAAAGATGAATGTTTCAATTGGCAGGAATTGCTGCTCATTAATCTCTGTTGTCAACATTAAAAAAAGAAAGAAAGGAGAAAAGCAAGCAAGCAGGCAAGTAAGAAAAGACAAGCCTCCTTGAAGTACTTTGTGAAAACTTATCTCCTTGCCTTAATGTGGTCAGTAGCCACAGCTTTATTAACCCATGGCAATTGACCCAATTAAATCACACTTTTATGTCTTTTCAATTTTTATTTCACTAGGAATTTTTCTCCACTTTGATATTCCATATCTCTATAGCACTTTTGCTACTTAGATTATCTCTAATGTCTTACTGATTTAATTATTTTTACCTTTTGAAACTACGTAGATAATTTCCAGACATAAATGATTTTGTCATAAGAATATACTTCAGAGAAATATCAATTTTTAAAACACACAAGGTAATGTTTTAAATAATAAATGTTGACATGTTTTGGATTTGTGTCCCCACCCAAATCTCATGTTAAATTGTAAACCCCAGTGTTGGAGGAGGGGCCTTGTGGGAGGTGATTTGATCATGGGATCAAATTTCCCCCTTGCTATTATCATGATAGTGAGTTCTCATGGGATCTGGTTGTTTTAAAGTGTGTAGCATCTCCGCCTTTGCTCTCTTCCTCCCTGGTCGTGTGAAGAAGTGCCCCCTTCCTTTTCACCTTCTGCCATGAGTGTAAGTTTCCTGAGGCCTCCCAGGCCATGCTTCCAGTACAGCCTGTGGAATCATGTGCCAACTAAACCTCTTTTCTTTATAAATTACACAGTATCAGGTATTTTTTATAGCAGTGCGAGAACAGACTAATATAGAAAATTGGTACCAAGAAGTGGGACACAGCTATAAAGACACCTGAAAGTGTGGAAGCAGCTTTGGAATTGGGTAATGGGAAGAGGTTGGAAGAGTGTGGAGGGCTCCGAAGGAGACAGGAAGATGATGGAAAGTTTGGAACTTCCTAGAGACTTCTTAAATTATTGTGACCAAACTGATTATTGTGATATGGCCAATGAAGTCCAGGCTGAAGAGGTCTCAGATGGAGATGTGAAAGTTACTGAGAACTTAAGCAAGGATCACTTTTGTTATGTCTTGGCAAAGAGGTTGGAAGTATTGTGCCCCTGCTCTAGAAATCTATGAACTTTGACCTTGAGAGTGATGATTTAGGCCATGTGATGGAAGAAATTTCTAAGCAGCAAAACATTCAAGATATGACCTGGCTGCTTCTAGAAGCTTATGCTCATATTCATGAGCAAAAAATATGTAGAACTAGAACTTATATTTAAAAGGGAAGCAGAACATAAAAGTTTGAAAAGTTTGCAGCCTGGCCATATGGTGGGAAAGAAAAACCCATTTTTGGGGAGGAATTCAAGCTGGCTTCAGAAATTTGCATAAGTAAAGGGGAGCCAAATGTTGATAGCCAGGATAATGGGGATAATGCCTTGAAGGCATTTCAGAGATCTACAAGGCAGCTTCTCCCATTGCAGGCCTGGAGGTGTAGGAGGGAAGAATGGTTTTGTGGGCCAGGGCCTGGGCCCTCCTGCTCTGTGCAGTCTCAGGACATGGCCCCCTGCATTGTAGCTGCTCCAGCTCCATCAATGGCTAAAAGGAGCCAATGGGCAGCTCAGGCTGTTGCTTCAGAAGGTGCAAACCATAAGACTTTGTGGCTTTCACATGGTATTAAGTCTGTAGGGGTGCAGAGTGTGAGAGTTGAGGCTTGGGAGCCTGCACCTGTATTTCAGAGGATGTATGGAAATGCCTGGATGTCCAGGCAGAAGTCTGCTGCAAGGGTGGAGGCTTCATGGAGAATGTCTACTAGGGCAGTGCCAAGATGAAATGTGGGTTTGGAGCCCCCACACAGAGTCTCCACTGGGGCACTGCCTATTGGAGCTGTGAGAAGAGGGCCACCATCCTTCAGACCCCAGAATAGAATGGTAGATCCACTGACAGCTTGTACCATGCTTTTGGAAAAGCCTCAGGCATTCAACACCCCATGAAAGCCCATGAAAGCAGCTGCAGGGGCTGTACCCTGCAGAGCCATAGGAGCAGAGCTGCCCAAGGCCTTGGGAGTCCACCCCTTGGATCAGTGTTGCCTGGATCTGACACATGGAGTCAAAGGAGATTATTTTGGAGCTTGAAGATTTAATGACTGCCCTGCTGGGTTTTGGACTTGCACAAGGTCTGTCACCCCTGCTTTTGGCAGATTTCTCCCCTTTGGAAAGGGAGTATTTACCCAATGCATTTCCCCCCATTTCATCTTGGAAGTAACTAACTTGTGTTTTATTTTATAGGCTCATAAGTGGGAGCAATGAACCTTGTCTCAGATGAGACTTTAGACTGTGGACTTTTGAGTTAATGCTGAAGTGAGTTAAGACTTGAGGGACTATTGAGAAGGAATGATTGTCTTTTGTAATGTGAGAAGGACATGAGATTTGGGAGGGGCCACGGGCGGAATGATATGGTTTGGATTTGTGTCCCCACCCAAATCTCATTTCAAATTGTAATCTCCAGTGTTGAAGGAGGGGCCTGGTGGGAAGTGATTGGATCCTGAGGGCAGAACTTCTCCTTGCTCTCCCTGTGATAGTGAGTGAGTTTTCATGAGATCTGGTTATTTAAAAGTGTGTAGCACCTCCCCTTTCTCACTCTTCCTCTGCTCTGACCATGTGAAGAGGTGCCTTCTTCCTCTTCACCTTCTGCCATGATTGTAAGTCTCCTGAGGCCTCCTCAGCCATGCTTCATGTACAGCCTGTGGAACCATGAGCCAATTAAATCTCTTTTCTTTATAAATTATCCAGACTTAGATATTTCTTTTTGGCAGTGCAAAAATGGACTAATACATATGTGTTATTAAGTTCTACTGGATATTTGTAATTTCTAGTATCAGAATTTCAAAACCAATAACTTCCTGTCATACTTTAAGTCATGAAGCTCATACAAATAGTGAGTTTTAGAAAATAAGAGCCTGGATTTTGCATCTTGTTGCATACCTAATGTTGAGATCATTCCTAAAACTTTTTTTTGATCGGAGAAGCTGATACTAAATCTCTCAAGGTGAAGTCTGTTGCCATCATTGCCCTTGTATATACAACAGCTTAACTGGCTTTTCTGTTCTTAGGAACCTAGGAAGGCCAGTGTTTCAGAAAGAGCTATGAGGAATAATTTAGCCATTCTGTGAGAAATTTAAATTAGCCCAATGATTTTTGTGAAAAAGAACTTATTTAATCAACTCCTAGAGGACAGAAAATAAAAATGTCCCATCGCTGACAGTCATATCCCAGCCTTTCTTGGTTAAAGTACAGGTGTTAACAAAAGAGTATCCTCTGAGTGTGGGAACCATTCACTTCATTGAACTGGTAATGAGATTCATTGTAACTATAAAGAACCATGTATGTGAATATCTTGCCACTCATCAGCTGAATAATCTTGGGTAAATTACTTAATTCTTTGCACACAAGATGCTTGAATTGGAAAATGGGCATAATAATAAAACCTACCTCATAGAGTTGTTATGCACACCAAATGAGTTAATATTATAAAGCACTTGAATACGACCATTTGAGAAGCAGTTTATTGTTTTGGTGCTCTATAAAGAAAATTACAAGGACACTAGAATAAAACAATATAGTGTCTCCATGATTACTTGCACACTGAGTCTTCATCAAATATTAGATTTCCATCCTCAATTCCTTTTTTCTATATGAGAAAAGAAGTGGATTAAACAACTATCTTCAAAGTATATGAGGGTCTTCAGAGTGTGGTCATTAGTTGTCAGGCTGCCTAGGTTCAAACCCTAACTACTATGCGCTTCTGTGATCTTAGGCAAAAATCTTAAACCACACTGTGTTGTATTTCTCTTGCTTGTGAAACAATAGTACTGGAAACATAAAATTATTTTATGAGGGTTAATTAACATGATGGGTGATAAAGATTTAGCCATTACAATGCTATTGTAAATTTTCTTTTTTTTTTTTCTTTTACTTTAAGTTATGGGATACCTGTGCTGAAAGTGCAGGTTTGTTACATAGCTAAACATGTGCCATGGTGGTTTGCTGCACCTATCAACCCGTCATCTAGGTTTTAAGCCCCACATGCATTAGGTATTTGTCCTAATGTTCTCCCTCCCTTTTCTTCCAACCTCTGACAAGCCCTGGCATGTGATGTTCCCCTCCCTGTGTCCATGTGTTCTCACTGTTCAGCTTCCACTTATGAGTGACAACATGCAGTGCTTGGTTTTCTGTTCCTGTGATAGTTTGCTGAGAATGATGGTTTCCAGCTTCATCCATGTCCCTGCAAAGGACATGAGCTCATTCTTTTGTATGGCTGCATAGTATTCCATGGAGTATATGTGCTACATTTTCTTTATCCAGTCTATCGTTGATGGACATTTGGGTTGGTTCCAAGTCTTTGCTATTGTAAATAGTGCTGCAATAAACATATGCGTGCATGTGTGTGTCTTTATAGTAGAATAATTTATAATCTTTGGGTATATACCCAGTAATGGGATTGCAGGGTCAAATGGTATTTCTGGTTCTAGATCTTTGAAGAATCCCACGCTGTCTTCCACAATGGTTGAACTAATTTACACTCCCACCAACAGTGTATAAGCGTTTCTATTTCTCCACATTCTCACCAGCATCTGTTCTTTCCAGACTTTTTAATAATCGCCATTCTAACTGGCATGAGATGGTATCTCATTGTGGTTTTGGTTTGCATTTCTCTAATGACCCATGATGATGAGCTTTTTTTCATGTTTGTTGTCTGCATAAATGTCTTCTTTTGAGAAGTGTCTGTTCATATTCTTCACCCACTGTTTGATGGGCTTGTTTTTTTTTCTTGTAATTTTTTTAAAGTTCCTTGTATATTCTGGATATTAGACCTTTGTCAGATGGATAGATTGTAAAAATTTTCTCCCATTTGTAGGTTGCCTGTTCACTCTGATGATACACTTTCTTTTGCTGAGCAGAAGCTCTTTAGTTTAATTAGATCCCATTTATCAATTTTGGCTTTTGTTACAATTGCTTTTGGTGTTTTCGTCATGAAGTTTTTGCCCATGCCTATGTC
This sequence comes from Homo sapiens, assembly GCF_000001405.40. Taxonomy (NCBI): domain Eukaryota; kingdom Metazoa; phylum Chordata; class Mammalia; order Primates; family Hominidae; genus Homo; species Homo sapiens. The sequence continues at coordinate 162,630,846 of NC_000005.10, read as the reverse complement.
CTGATTGGTATTGCCTAGGTTTTCTTCAAGGGTTTTTATGGTTTTGGTTTTATGTTTAAGTCTTTAATCCATCTTGAGTTAATTTTTGTTTAAGGTATAAGGAAGGAGTCCAATTTCTGTTTTCTGCATATGGCTAGCCAGTTTTCCCAGCACCATTTATTAAACAGGGAATCATTTCCCCATTGCTTGTTTTTGTCAGGTTTGTCAAAGATCAGATGGTTTTAGATGTGTAATGTTATTTCTGGGATCTCTGTTCTGTTCCATTGGTCTATATATCTGTTTTGGTATCAGTACCATGCTGTTTTGGTTACTGTAGCCTTAGTTTGAAGTCAGGTAGTGTGATGCCTCCAGCTTTGTTCTTTTTGCTTAGGATTGTCTTGGACATATGGGTTCTTTTTTGGTTCCATATGACATTTAAAGTAGTTTTTTTTCTAATTCTGTGAAGAAAGTCAATGGTAACTTGATGGGAATAACATTGAATCTGTAAATTACTTTGGGCAGTTTGGCCATTTTCATGATATTGATTCTTCCTATCCATGAGCATGGAAGTTTTTCCATTTGTTTGTGTCCTCTCTTATTTCCTTGAGCAGTGGATTCTGGTTCTCCTTGAAGAAGTCCTTCATGTCCCTTGTAAGTTCTATTCCTAGGTATTTTATTATCTTTGTAGTAATTGTGAATGGGAGTTCACTGACGATTTGGCCCTCTGCGTGTCTATTATTGGTGTATAAGAATTCTTGTGAGTTTTGCACACGGATTTTGTAACCTGAGACTTTGCTAAAGTTCCTTGTCATACTAAGGAGTTTTTGGGCTGAGATGATGGGGTTTTCTAAATATACAATCATGTTATCTGTAGAGATAAGTTGACTTCCTCTCTTCCTATTTGAGTACCCCTTATTTCTTTCTCTTGCCTGGTTTCTATGGCCAGAACTTCCAACACTATGTTGAATAGGAGTAGTGAGAAAGGGCATGCTTGTCTTGTGCCGGTTTTCAAAGGGCATGCTTCCCATTCCCTTTGACAATCCCTTATGACAAACCCATAGCCAATATCATACTGAATGGGCATTCAATATGATGGGCATTCAGTATGATATCGGTTATGGGTTTGTCATAAATAGCTCTTATTATTTTGAGATATGTTCCATCAATACCTAGTTTATTTAGAGTTTTTAGCATAAAGCGGTGTTGAATTTTATCAAAGGCCTTTTCTGCATCTATTGAGATAATCATGAGATTTTTGTCATTGGTCCTGTTTATGTAATGGATTATGTTTACTGATTTGCATATGTTGAACCAGCCTTGCATCCCAGAGATGAAGTCGACTTGAACATAGTAGATAAGCTTTTTCATGTGCTGCTGGATTCTGTTTGCCAGTATTTTATTGAGGATTTTCACACTGAGGTTCATCAGGGATATTGGCCTGAAATTTTCTTTGTGTGTGTGTGTGTGTCTCTAACAGGTTTTGGTATCAGGATGATGCTGGCCTCATAAAATGAGTTAGGGGGGAGTCCCTCTTTTTCTATTGTTAGGAATAGTTTCAGAGGGAATGATACCAGCTCCTTTCTGTACCTCTAGTAGAATTCAACTGTGAATCCTTCTGGTACTGGGCTTTTTTGGTTGGTAGGCTATTAATTACTGCCTCAATTTCAGAACTTGTTATTGGTCTATTCAGGGATTTGACTTCTTCCTGATTTAGCCTTGGGAGGGTGTATGAGTCCAGGAATTTATCCATTTATTCTAGATTTTCTAGTATATTTGCATAGAGGTGTTTATTGTATTCTCTGATTGTCGTTTGTATTTCTGTGGGATCAGGAGTGATATCCCCTTTATCATTTTTATTGTGTCTATTTGATTGTTCTCTCTTTTCTTCTTTATTAGTCTGGCTAGCAGTCTATTTTGTTAATCTTTCAAAGAACCAGCTCCTGGATTCATTGACTTTTTAAAAGGTTTCTCATGTCTCTATCTCCTTCAGTTCTGCTCTGATCTTAGTTATTTTTTTGTCTTCTGCTAGCTTTTGAATTTGTTTGTTCTTTCTTCTCCAGTTTTTTTACTTGTGATGTTAGGGTGTTTATTTTAGACCTTTCATACTCTCTGATGTGAGCATTTAATGCTATGAATTTCCCTCTTAACACTGCTTTAGCTGTGTTTGATAGATTCTGGTATGTTGTCTCTTTGTTCTCATTGGTTTCAAAGAACTTATTTATTTCTGACTTAATTTCGTTATTTACCCAGTAGTCATTCAGGAGCAGGCTGTTCAGTTTCTATGTAATTGTGCAGTTTTGAGTGAGTTTCTTAATTCTGAGTTCTAATTTGATTGCACTGTGGTCTGAATGTTTGTTATGATTTCCATTCTTTTGCATTTGCTGTGGAGTGTTTTACTTCTAATTATGTGGTTGATTTTAGAATAAGTGCTATGTGGTGCTGAGAAGAATGTATATTCTGTTGATTTGTGGTGGAGAGTTCTGTAGATGTCTATTAGTTCTGCTTGGTCCAGAGCTGAGTTCAAGTCCTGAATATCCTTGTTGATTTTCTGTCTTGTTGAATTGTCTAATATTGACAGTGGAGTGTTAAAGTCTCCCACTGTTATTGTGTGGGAGTCTTTGTAGGTCTCTAAGAGCTTGCTTTATGAGTCTGGGTGCACCTGTATTGGGTGCATATATGTTTAGAATAGTTAGCTCTTTTTGTTGCATTGATCCCTTCACCATTATGTGGTGCCCTTCTTTGTCCATTTTGACCTCTGTTGGTTTAAAGTTGGTTTTATCAGAGACTAGGATTGCAACCCCTGCTTTCTTTGCTTTCCATTTGCTTGGTAAATTTTCCTTCATCCCTTTATTTTGAGCCTATGTGTGTCTTTGCACGTGAGATGGGTCTCCTGAAGGTAGCACACTGATTGGTCTTGACTTTTTATCCAATTTGCCTGTGTGTGTCTTTTAATTGGGGCACTTAGCCCATTGACATTTAAGGTTAGTATTGTTATGTGTGAATTTGATCCTGTTTTTATGATTCTAGCTGGTTATTTTGCACAAAAGTTGATGTAATTTCTTCACAGTGTTGTTGGTCTTCATATTTTGGTGTGTTTTTGCAGCAGCTGGTACTGGGTTTTTCTTTCCATATTTAGTGCTTCCTTCAGGAGGCAGGCCTGGTGCTGAAAAAAATCCCTCAGCATTTTCTAGTCTGTATAGGATTTTATTTTTCCTCCACTTATGAAGCTTAGTTTGGCTGCATATAAAATTCTGGGTTGAAAATTTTATTCTTTAAGAATATTGAATATTGGCCCCTACACTCCTCTAACTTGTAGCGTTTCTGCAGAGAGATCTGCTGTTAGTCTTATGAGATTCCCTTTGTAGGTAACCTGACATTTCTCTCTGGCTGCCATTAACATTTTTTCCTTCATTTCAACCTTGGGTAATCTGATGATTATGTGTCTTGGGGTTGCTCTTCTTGAGGAATATCTTAATGGTGTTTCTGTATTTCCTGAATTGGAATGTCGGCCTGTCTCGCTGGGTTGGGTAAGTTCTCCTGAATAGTATCCCGAAGTGTGTTTTCCAAGTTGGTTCCATTCTCCCCATCACTTTCAGGGACCCCAATCAATCGTAGGTTTGGTCTTTTCACAGTACCATATTTCTTGGAGGCTTTGTTCATTCCTTTTAATTCCTTTTTGTTTAATCTTGTCTTCTTGCCTTATTTTAGTAAGTTGATCTTCAATCTCTGATATCCTTTCTTCCACTTGATCAATTTGGCTATTGATACTTGTGTATGCTTCACGAAGTTCTTGTCCTGGGTTTTTCAGCTCCATCAGGTCATTTATGTTCTTCTCTAAACTGATTATTCTAGTTAGCAGTTCCTGTAACCTTTGTCAAGATTCTTAGCTTCCTTGTATTGGGTTAGAACCTGTTCTTCTAGCTCTGAGGAGTTTGTTATTACCCACCTTCTGAAGCCTCCTTCTGTCAATTCGTCAAACTCATTCTCCATCTAGTTTTGTGCCCTTGCTGGAGAGGAGTTGTGATCATTTGGAGGAGAAGAGGCATTCTGGTGTTTCGAATTTTTAGCATTTTGGGGCTGTTTTTTCCTCATCTTTGTGGATTTATCTACCTTTGATCTTTGACGCTGATTACCTTTGCATGAGATTTCTATGTGGGGGTCCTTTTTATTATGCTGATGTTATTGCTTTCTGTTTGTTAATTTTTCTTCTAACAGTCAGGCCTCTCATTTTCAGGTCTGCTGTGATTTGCTAGAGGTCCACTCCACACCCTATTTGCCTGGGTATCACCAGCAGAGGCTGCAGAACAGCAAAGATTGCTGCCTGCTCCTTCTTCTGGAAACTTTATCCTAGAGAGGCACCAGCCTGATGCCAGCCAGAGCTATCCTGTATTAGGTGTCTGTCAACCCCAGTTGGGAGGTCTCTCCCAGTTAGGAAGCATGGGGGTCAGAAACCCACTTGAGGAGGCAGCCTGTCCCTTATCAGAGCTCGAGTGCTCTGCTGGGAGAACCCTCCTTGTCAGGATCTGCTGCTCTCTTCAGAGCAGCCAGGCAAGAATGTTTAGGTCTGCTGAAGCTGCACCCACAGCCTCTCCTTCCCCCAGCTGCTCTGTTCCAGGCAGATGGGAGATTTATCTATAAGCCTCTTACTGGGGCTGCTGCCTTTCTCTCAGAGATGCCCTGCCCAGTGAAGAGGAATAACAGATGGGACAGAGAGGCAGTCCGGCCATAGCCACTTTGCTATGCTGTGTTGAGTTCCACCCAGTCCAAATTTCCAGGCCTCTTTGGCACTGTCAGGGGAAAACCACCTATTCAAGCCTCAGTAATGGTAGACTGATCCTCCCCCCTCCCCACCAAGCTTGATCATCGCAGGTCAACTTCAGACTGCTGTGCTGGCAGTGAGAATTTCAAGCCAGTGGTTCTTAGCTTGCTGGGCCCAGTGGGAGTAGGATCTGCTGAGCGAGACCACTTGACTCCCTGACTTCAGCCCCCTTTCCTGGGGAGTGAATGGTTCTGTCTCGCTGGAGTTCCAGGTGCCATTGGGGGTGGGGAGTGTGAGGGGAACAAAAAAAAAACTCCTGCAGCTAGCTCGGTGTCTGCCCAAACAGATGCCCAGTTTTTAAACCCAGGTCCCTGATGGTGTAGGCACACAAGGGAATCTCCTGATCTGAAGATTGCAAAAACCCTGGGAAAAATGTAGTATCTGGGCTGGATAGCATAGTCCCTCATGGCTTCCCTTGGCTGGGAAAGGGAGGCCCCCCACTCCTCATACTTCCTGGGTGAGGCAATGCCCCACCCTGCTTCTGCTAGCCCTCCATGGACTGCACTCTCTGCCTAACCAGTCCCAATGAGATGAACAGTGTACCTCAGATGGAAATGTAGAAGTCACTCACCTTCTGCATGGGTCTCGCTGGGAGCTGCAGACCAGAGCTGTTCCTATTTGGCCATCTTGCCAGATCCCCCTGTAAATTTTTAATGATGCTGTTTTTATTATTATTGTTACATATGTTATATATACGTAATATGCATTAAGACAGTTGAATAAAATATTAAATCAACAGATGACACATTGTAACATTTTTCACCCAAGTTGGACTGGTTAGTTATTTTATGTCTTTTTATTTAAAGAGTGGTTTCTCAACTATTACTATTGTTATTATTGGCACACTTATGAATTTAGCTAATAGTGCCATAAAACTAAGTAAAATAGGGTGTCAAAACAAGCTAAAAAATAAGAAACTATTTCTTCCCTGGTCATGTAAATACTAGCATCATTGTACTTAAATATATGAAGTTGAGTATTTTATTACCCAGGTAGCTGTCCTACTATGTGAAATGATTGCTTTCCTTATAAAAAGTATCAAATGAGCTTCTGAAATTTTGCCCTAGATTGCAGAGCCAGAAGAGAAAGAGTTGTCAGGAACATGTTGGAACCAGATTCAGAGCATGATATGTACCCAGGGGGTCATAACGAAGCCTGGGCTGGAAAAAGAGTTTGATAGTTCAACTTTCATGAAAAATGTGGAGTGGAAAGGAGTGAAAAATCTGGTTTCCTTCTCCACTGTTTTCCATTTCAGTATTGAAGTATTTCAATTCTCTGGACAATAAAATAAGGGAGTACATGATAGATGGCTGTCAAAGGCAATATTGCTCTTCAGCACCATTAATATTTTAAGTTTACACTAAAATAGCAGGTGGGACCTCTATGGTGATTTTGGCTTAAGGCAATGCTAAATCCTGAGAATTGCTGAAGCACTTTGAAGAACAGCACCCCAAGCTCTATTCCACAAGCTGGCTTTGATGATTGATAAATTATAATGGCAATTAATGTAGTTAATTTCAAAAATTAAAGAGATAGCTATTTTCTTTCAAGTTTTGCTATAATATGCAGCATTTTTTTCAAAGATACTCAGACTCAATTGCTGTTTGCCTCAGGTTTTGTATTCATCGCCTGACTTCCTACAGCTCTTCAGCAGGTCTCTCTGACATGAACCCACCTGAGGTATGTCAGCGTGCTTCCACTGCCCAATTGTTCTATACTCCAAATCAAAAGAATGACATCCTTCTCTAGTGTTCTGGAGTTCTGAAAATTGGATGCTTTATTTGAAAACACAAAGAAAATGTGACTCTTTCTCATGTTGTTCTTCTCTCCACAGGGAGGCCATTACATTAATGCCTTCAGCTTTCCGCACAGCCCATATTGCTTTGGTGGACGCTTTGAAATGTCTGGTCGTTATAACTCAGTCACTCAAGACACCTCACTTAAAAATTCTAGTTATGGAATAATTGTGATGCCATAGGAAGAAAATTAAGCAAGCTGTCTACTCTTGGGAAATGTTAACAAATGCCTGTGCATACTGTGAAGAGTCCACGGGGAAGAAAATGAGCCACACAAGGTCAGAATAACTTACTATGCTGTTAATAATATCTTCCTGGTTATTGAGGGGCTATTCATTTTTATTAAATAACAAAACACTGAGGCATTAAAAATATTTAACTCTAGTTGTTTTGATGAAAAATATAGATTTTTTTTATTTTAGCTAACAGTTTTTGAAAGCTGATTATTGGTCAGACTCTATGCCTAACACTTTATATATATATATATATATATTCCTTCACCTAATCTTCACAATGATCTGTGATCTAAGGCTTTTATGAAGATTCAATCAGAAAACATATAGAAAATAGTTGCAATAAATGTCTTCTGACACATACAAATTGTGGTATTACGATTTTTCTTATTTATTGCAATTAGGTGAGACTTAAGCACACATAGGCATAATATATATGATCATAAATGCTTGCACTAATTACAATGACCAAAAAAATTTAAACACATTTGAATTATTAATTGACTTAAGAGAAGTGTCTCTGACTTGGTTCCTTCAGATGGTCCCACCTATATTTATTATACACTGATCACTATGAAGACATAAAGATTTGTTAAAAGTGGCCTTTGAAGAGCATGTAATTGTGTCCAGAATTGGCGGGTTCTTGGTCTCACTGACTTCAAGAATGAAGCCGCAGACCCTCACGGTAAGTGTTACAGTTCTTAAAGGCAGCGTGTCCGGAGTTTGTTCCTTCTGATGTTCGGATGTGTTTGGAGTTTCTTCCTACTGGTGGGTTCGTGGTCTCGCTGGCTCAGGAGTGAAGCTGCATTCCTTCGCGGTCAGTGTTACAGCTTTTAAGGCGGTGCATCTGGAGTTGTTCGTTCCTCCCAGTGGGTTCGTGGTTTCACTGGCTTCAGGAGTGAAGCTGCAGACCTTCTCGGTGAGTGTTACAGCTCATAAAGGTGGTGTGGACCCAAAGATTGAGCAGTAGCAAGATTTATTGCAAAGAGCGAAAGAATAAAGCTTCCACGGTGTGGAAGGGGACCCAAGCGGGTTGCCCCTGCTGGCTGGGGCAGCCTGCTTTTATTCTCTTATCTGGCCCCACGCACATCCTGCTGATTGGTCCATTTTACAGAGAGCCGATTGGTCTGTTTTACAGAGAGCTGATTGATCCGTTTTGACAGGATGCTGAGTGGTGCATTTACAATCCCTGAGCTAGACACAAAAGTTCTCCATGTCCCCACTAAATTAGCTAGATACAGAGTATCCATTGGTGTATTTACAAACCCTGAGCTAGACACACAGTGCTGATTGGTGCATTTACAAACCTTGAGCTAGATACAGAGTGACGATTGGTGCATTCACAATCCCTTAGCTAGACATAAAGATTCTCCAAGTCCCCACCAGATTAGCTAGATACAGAGTGCCGATTGGTGCATCCACAAACCCTGAGCTAGACACAGGGTACTGATTGGTGTGTTTACAAACCTTGAGCTAGATACATAGTGCCGATTGGTGTATTCACAATCCCTTAGCTAGACATAAAGATTGTCCAAGTCCCCACCAGATTAGCTAGATACAGAGTACTGACTGGTGCATCCACAAACCCTGAGCTAGACACAGGGTGCTGATTGGTGTGTTTACAAACCTTGAGCTAGATACAGGGTGCCGATTGGTGTATTTACAATCCCCTAGCTAGACATAAAGGTTCTCCAAGTCCCTACCAGACTCAGGATCCCAGCTGGCTTCACCCAGTGGATCCCGCACTGGGGCCACAGGTGGAGCTGCTTCCAGTCCCGCACCGTGCGCCTGCACTCCTCAGCCCTTGGGTGGTCGATGGGACCGGGCACTGTGGAGCAGGGGGCAGCGCTCGTCAGGGAGGCTTGGGCCGTGCAGGAGCCCATGGCAGGGGGAGGGGAGGCTCAGACATGGCGGGCTGCAGGTGCCAAGCCCTGCCCCACGGGGAGGCAGCTAAGGCCTGGCAAGAAATCGAGTGCAGCGCCAGTGGGCTGGCACTGCTGGGGGACCTGGCGCACCCTCCGCAGCTGCTGGCCCAGGTGCTAAGCCCCTCACTACCCGGAGCCGGTGGGGCCAGCCGGCTGCTCCGAGTGTGGGGCCTGCCAAGCCCACGCCCACCCAGAAGTCTAGTTGGCCCGCAAGCACTGTGTGCAGCCCCGGTTCCCGCCCGTGCCTCTCCCTCCACACCTCGCCGCAGGCTGAGGGAGCCAGCTCTGGCCTCAGCCATCCGAGGAAGGGGCTCCCACAGTGAAGTGGTGGGCTGAAGGGCTCCTCAAGCATGGCCAGAATGGGCACCAAGGCCAAGGAGGCACCGAGAGCGAGTGAGGGCTGCGAGGGCTGCCAGCACGCTGTCACCTCTCATAATGAAATTGGAAAATCATTCTAAGCTTGCAGAAAACTTATGGAATAATAGATATTGGTATACAGTCAAATGCTAAATGGTAAGATGTAGGCGACTGACTAAAAATAGAGTTTGGAGAATTTTCCTGGAGGAAATAAAGCTTGCTGAAGTCTTCAAATTTGAAAATTTAGGTGATTTTATTTTAAAGAGGAAAGGAAAGGAAAAAAAAAAAACTACTGTAAGTAATACCTGAAGTTTCTTTCCATGGTGAGCAGTGGGAAATGAGTTCTTAAAGATTCTTGGTGCTCATTGATGGGAAAAATCAATATTGTTAAAATGGCCGTACTACCCAAAGCAATTTACAGATTCAATGCTATTCTTATAAAACTACCAATGTCATTCTTCACAAAACTAAAAAAAGCTATTTTAAAATTCATATGGATCCAAAAAAGAGCCTGAAAACCCAAAGCAATTCTAAACAGAAAGAAAAAGCTGGAGGCATCACGTTATCTGACTCCAAACTATACTACAAGGCTACAGTAACCAAAAAGGCATGGTACTGGTATAAAAACAGACACATAGACCAATGGAACAGAATAAAGAGCCCAGAAATACAGCTGCACAGTTAAAACCATCTGATCCTCAATAAAGGTGACAAGATCAAGCAATGGGGAAAAGACTTCCTATTCAATAAATAGTTTGGGGATAACTGGCTAGCCATATACAGAAGATTGAAGCTGGATGCCTTCCTTACACTATTTACAAAAATCAACCCAAGATTGATTAAAAACTTAAATGTAAAACTTAAACATTTAAAATTCCTGGAAGATAACCTAGGAAATACTGTTCTGAACATAGGCCTTGGCAAAGATTTTGTGATGAAGATGCCAAAAGCAATTGCAACAAAAACAAAAATTCACAGATGGGACCTAATTAAACTAAACAGCTTCTGGACAGGAGAAGAAACTACTGACAGAGTAAACAGACAACCTACAGAATGGGAGAAAACATTTGCAATCTATGCAGCTGACAAAGGTCTAACATCCAGAATCTATAAGGAACTTTAACTAACAAGCAAAGGGCCAGGCATAGTGGCTCACACCTGTAATCCTAACACTTTGGGAAGCCAAGGCGGGTGGATCTTCTGAGGTCAGGAGCTCGAGACCAGCCTGACCAACATGGTGAAACCCTGTCTCTACTAAACTACAAAAATTAGCCAGGTGTGGTGCCTGTAATTCCAGCTATTGGGAGGCTGAGGCAGGAGAATTGCTTCAACCTGGGAGGTGGAGATTGCAGTGAGCCAAGGTCACACCACTGCACTCCAGCCTGGGAGACAGAGTGAGTTACCATCTCAAAAAAAAAAAAAAAAAAAAAAGGAACAAGCAAAAAACAATGCCATTAAAAAGTGTGCAAAGGACATGAACAAACACTTCTCAAAACAAGTCATAATGTGGCCAACAAGGATATGAAAAAATGCTCAACATCACTAATCTCTAAAGCAGGGGTCCCCAACCACTGGGCTGTGGACCTCTAGAAGTCTGTGGCATTAAATTCTTATGGGAGCATGAATGCTGTTGTGAACTGCACAAGGAATCTAGGTTGTGCACTCCACTCCTTATGAGAATCTAATGCCTGATGATCTGAGGTGGAACAATTTTATCCTGAAACCATCCCACCTCATCCATGGAAAAATTGTCATCCACAAAACTGGTCTCTGGTGCCCAAAATGTTGGAAACTGCTGCTTTAGAGAAATGCGAATCAAAACCCCAATGAAATACCATCTCACACCAGTCAGAATGATTATTATTAAAAAGTAAAAAAATAACAGATGCTGTTGAGGTTGTGGAGAAAAGGGAATGCTTATACACAGGTCATGGGAATGTAAATTAATTCAGCCATTGTGGAAAGTAGTTTGCAATTTCTCAAAGAACTTAAAATAGAACTACCATTCAACCCAGCAATCCTATTGTTGAGTACATACCCAAAGGAATATAAATCATTCGACCATAAAGGCACAGGCACTCATATATTCATTGCAGCTCTATCACAGTAGCAGAGCCATGGAATCAATCTAAATGCCCATCAATGGTAGACTGGAGGAAGAAAATGTGGTACATATATATCATGGAATACTACACGGCCATAAAAAAGAATGAAGTCATGGTCCTTTGCAGCAACATGCATGGAACTGCAGGCTGGGATCCTAAGTGAATTAATGCAGGAACAAAAAGTAAAACACCACATGTTCTCTTATAAATGGAAGCTAAATATTGAGTAAACATAGACATAATGAAAGGAACAACAGACACTGGGGGCTACTTGGAGGTAGAGGGTGGTAGGAGTCAGAGGATTGAAAAAAACTACCTATTTGGTACTATGCTCATTACCTTGGTGGCAAAATAATCTGTACAACAAACCCCCATGACATGCAATTTACCTACATAACAAACCTGCACATGTACCCTTGAACCTAAAATAAAATTTTTTAAAAATTTAAATTTAAATAAAATTTTAAAAAATATTATATAATAAAAAATTATTACATAATCTTTGACCAAAAGTACTCGGAAAAATCTATGGTTCATCACAAATATAATTTCACACTGTTTGTCTTAGAGCCTAATAGTCTATTTCTTGACTCCAGCCAAAGACCTTTAATTGGACCTAAAACAAATGTTCTGTGCCTGGACATTGGGAGGGCTAAAGCTGGCATCTCTCTAACTAGCCCCTCCTACACCCCAACCCTACTCCTCAGTGAAAGTTGAAGAGAATCTACCTTCTCAGAGTTGAATGGATGTGCTGAAGCTACAAGAAAAATGTCAGGACTGATATTTTAGGCTGAAGTGAATCTGCTAATTTCAATTTGGGTTATTAGCATTTGAGGCCTTTCATTTCTCTCTCTTCTCCTTCTCATCTTCCCCTTACTTATATGCTCCCCTTTGTCTGTCATAGTTATTTATTTATTAATATTTTATAACTTACTTTGAAAAATGAAACCACTGGAAACAAATGCTCATATGCTCTTGCAATCTTGTTAGTTATCTACATTTGCAAGATGTCTTCATGAAACATGAGGTAAGACTTCTATTTACAACTATTCCCCATACGTTATCTGTGCTTTCCATACTCTGTGCTTTGCTTCTCATAGATCTCTCTTTCTCTGATGTCCTTTTCACCTTCTGTGATAAACAGAATAATGCTACCCCTCCAAACATGAAATGTATTTTTTTTAATCTCTGGAATCCATGTATATGTTAGGTTACATGGAAAAATTGAATTAAGGTTGCAGATAAAATTAAGATTGCTACCAACTGACCTTGAAATAGAGAGATTATCATGATTTATCCAACTGACCTGGTATAAACACAAAGGTATTTTATTTATTTATTTATTTATTTATTTATTTATTTTTGAGAGAGGGTCTTGCTCTGTCACCCAGGCTGGAGTGCAGTGGCCTGATCTTGGCTCACTGCAACCTCCGCCTCCTGGGTTCAAGCGATTCTCCTGCCTCAGCCTCCCTAGTAGCTGGGATTAGAGGCACACGCCGCTACCCCGGCTAATTTTTATATTTTTAGTAGAGATGGGGTTTCACCATGTTGGCCAGGCTGGTCTTGAATGCCTGACCTCAAGTGATCCACCTGCCTCAGCCTCCCAAAGTGAACACAAAGGATTTAAAATGTAGAAAAGGAATACAGAAGAGGAGAGTTATAGGGAGATGTTACTACGTAAGAAAGACACAGACAGATGCAAAGCTGACAGCTTTGAAGGTGGAGGAAGAAGATCACACACCAAGAAATGTGGGCAGCTTCTGGAAGCTGAAAAGGTAAAGAAACAGAAGCTCCCACAGAACCTTCAGAGAGTAATGCTTACACCTTGATTTTTAGCCAAGGAGACTCATGCCAAACTCCCAGACTACAGAATTGTAATGTAATAAACTAATGATGTTTCAGCTACTAAATTTGTGTCAATTTGTTACAACAGCAACAGGAAACCTTCACAATTCAAAATACATAGTGTAGATTCCATGATCGTTGCAGCTCCGTGGTAACATTCTATGTCTTTCACAATTGCTGAAACTATGATACATAGAAGAAACCTAGTAGAATGTCTGTTGGATTGATGAACAGATAGAGGCCTCCTCATGGAAAAGTAGCAATCTAGGTGTTATACCAGTTTGAGGAATTATGACCACCAGAATATATGGGGACAGTTGGTTTCTACTCAGTAGGGATATACCATAGATATATCGGTAAGGAAGGGTATTGAGATATGTATCTGAAATCCAGCAAAAGGGGACATAGATGAGACCAAGTACTGCTGCAGAAAATCAAGTACTAGAGAAGAGGAACAAAATAGGATCCGCCAAGGCAGAGAAAGTATTAGAAATAAACAGCAGGTCAAGGGAAAGGAGGCCTTCCCTGAGACTGAGAGGTTTCTGGCTATGGGGGTTATGTGTATGGGGTACGCTTTCCTAAGGTGGGGTTTAAGCTAATTGATTTGGACCTAATGGGTGACTCTGGATTATATCCATTCACTGTGATTACTTTGTTCTTACTGTTGTTTTAACTGAAAAATATCTTAATGCTTCAATGCGTAAACTTTGAAATGGACCAGACTGAGTTCTATTTCTATGTCTTTTACAGACTATATGGGCCTCAGTTCCTGATTTGTAGATTTTGGGTAACAACCATGCTTACATCACAGAGTTGGCATAACACATTTAAATATCTTAGGTGCCCAGCATCCCAGTAAGCCTACAGTGAATGATAACTTTCATTACTACAATGATAATTACATAATATTTATAAATTTAGCAAAACAGAGACCTATGATGTTTGGCACACTGATGTCCCCATCAATTGCAGCTAAAAAAGTGGCCTATTTTCCTAAAGGTTCTAAAATTGGAAAATTCTACATTCCACTCCAGTGCAGCCTTATGGAGCATTCTACTTAATGTTACAGAAAGATGTGTTAATTTTAGCTGTCACAGCTGGATATTTATTAAATGCAAGCCTTTCATCAGCAAGAGCAGAAATTTCAAAACACATGCAGGCATTCTCTTACACAATTAGAACATGTAAGTTGTTGACATTTCTGTTCCAAATGGTTTACAAAATCATGAAATGTATAAGTATCTACATATGTATTCTAGGCCCTGTAGTTATTAAAAGGAATATAATACCACCTGTAGCCCCCAAAAAGAACATTTTAAATATATAAAATGATTATTGAGGACGAGATTGTGTATAATAAACAGCTAATTTTGTGCAACAGAAAACTGGTAAATGGCCATTTTAAAAACCAAATGTTAGTTGTGTGTTTGAGAAAATGACATTTAACAGAGCACTACAAGAGACTGATGGTGGCTACAATAATCTAAGAAGCCTTCATTGAAAATTGGGATTTTATTTGGGGTTTGAAGCACGAATCGGTGGAGAGCAATGGTGGCAATTTCTGAAAGGAGAAATGGTATCAGAAAGGAATTAGAGGAAGTGAGACCATATTAACAAATGAGGGACAGTGATTGATAGCTATCCACCTCCAAGTAAAGTTGTGTAGAGGAGACATCTGGAAATGATTTCAATTTCTGGAAGTTTTGTTCAAGTGCCCTAGTCACCCCAGGGCTGGCATTTAGTAAATGACCTCCCAAACCTAGTCCTATTATTTTTGTCATAGCTTGACCTTGGCTCTTTGTTTTAATATGTAACTCATGGTTACTGTACTTAGAATGGCAGTGGAAAAAGAGAAATGGAAAGAGATAATGTAAGAAAATCAGGTTTAATGTTAAGCTAACCATGTCTTCTCACAAGAAGTTCAGGCTTCTCTACTAATTGGCTCTATTATATATAATATGACTGTTGAGAAAGTTTTTGCACGAGAAGGAAAATAAATGAGGAGCAATATGCAGATGTTCAAGTATCAGACTCATTAATTAGGTATGTATTAACTAATTCTAATAGCCTACTTGCTGTGCCTCAAGGAATTTATAGGGAGGTTAAAGAGATTTTATTTCAAGCCAATCTTTTTTAAAGTTTTATGATAAGGCTAAGACAATATTATTGAGTAAATGTTCTAATCCTGGATGGATAAAACCTTGCCATTTTCTCAAATTTAAGTCATTTGCTTACTCAATTAAAATTTTAAAATGTACACTTATTCATGTATCACTTTCATTATTTTGCCATATTTGCACATCAAAACCTTGTTAATTTTAAATATTTCTTTTTACATCAATTTACCAATTTATTAATTAAATGTATTTTAAGAGAAGACACATTTTGCTCTGAAAAGAAAATATACATCGTATTAGTATAGTAAAACCAAAATATTGTTAAACCTTATCTATAAATATGGCTGCTTCTTGAAGATTATGAGTCAGAAGGATTCACTGTCTTAGTTAAAAAAGCAAGATTTGTAAAAGGAGGAATCACAGATAATAAAAACAGCATAAATTACTCACAATGTGGTTTAATATTATTTTACCCTATGTCCAGGAACTGTATAAAAGCATCTACCTTACTGCTGCTTCTGTGAGAGACAGCTGTGACGGGAAAAGAAGGCAAAATAGGTGATATGACCCTTTCACTACCTAACTGGGCAGGGACACAGTTCTGTTTTCCATACTTCACACACTCTCTATCAGTTTTAGTATTTGCATCCTCTACTCTTATATAGGTAATTTATACCTAAGTAATTTTGAAAATTTTCATAATATTCCACTATAATTTTAATGTTATACAGTATTTTAACCTCAGTAAAACCGATCCATTCATTTATTCATTAACTCATTTAAAATGTTCATTGAATATTTACCTGATGTAGGACATTTTTCTGGGTACCAGAGACTCAGTAGCTAATCAAACAGACAAAAAGAATTCCCTGTCTTTAGGAAAAGAAATAATTAACAAATAAATGTTATATAGGTAGATAGCTATAAATATAGATACTGATGTGTAGATAATGATCAGTGGTATAGAGGAATATAGTGTGGGAAAAAAGGAAATGTAGGGAATTTTCAAAATGAAGGGCAGAAAAGAACTCAATGGAAACATGATATTTGGCCTAAGCCCTGACTGAGATGAAGAATGAAATTGATATCATGAATATCAAATATATTGAAGAAGAATGTTCCAGGCAGAGGAATGAGCTTGAATATACCCTTATGCAATGCGAGATGAGATCATGTAGGATATTTTAAGTCATTGAATGGGTTTTGGCTTTGACTCTGGGTAAAATAGGCAGTCATTGATGGTTTAGAAATGATATGTTTTGAGGTACATTTCAAAAAATCACTAGACTTCTGTGTAAATAATTAACTGTTTCATTATTAAGAAACTGTGGGGTAGCTGAGGATAGCAAAACAGTTAGATGGCTATGGACATTACCCAGGCAAGAGATACTCTTGACTTGGACCAGAGCGGTAGTAGAGGTAATGAGTTTTCTGAAGATATTGGAAAATAGAGCCAATAGATAATGCTGGTTGATTGAAAGTCGGGAATGAATCCAAAGGTTTGGCCTTAGCAACAAGAAGGATTACATTTCCATTAACTGAAATGGATAAGATTGGGTGAGGAGTAAATGTGGGGGAATGAGGAGAGGAAAAACTTAGATCAATATACTATAATTTTGAGATGTCTATTATTGTACATACAAGTAGAGATAGATGTCTGATAAACCGTTGAACATTTAAGAATGAAAGTTCATAGGAGCAGTTTGGATTAGAAAAATAAATTTGGGAGATATTATTTTTAGATAGTATTTTGAAATAATAAAACTACACAAATCAATATAACAATAAGCATAGACAGCTTAAAACTGAGCTTTGTTTAGTGGTTGGGGATGTGAGGTGAAATAAGCAAAGAAGATGAAAGAATGACAAGTGAGGTAGTAGAAAACCTAGGTGTATGTGGAGTCCTGAAAGTCAAGTAAGGAAAATTATTCAGTCAAGATGGATGAAATGTTAAATGTGCAGAGAGTTCAAGAATGATGAAGTCTGAGGCTTAAGTATTGTATTTGACCATATGAAGGTTACTGGTTACTTTGACGACAGCACATGTAATGAAGGATTGGAGACCACAGACTGTTAGGAAGGAATCAATAAAAAGTGAATGGGAAGACATTGGAAAAAGAGAGTAGATAAAATGTTCAGAGAGTTTTGATGTCAATAAGAATGAAATATTGGTGTGAGATGGAGAGGAAAATGAGGTCAAGAGAGGATTTGCTTTATATGACGGTAGAAATTACAATGTATGTGTAAGCTGAGGGAAAATATCTAGAAGAGAGAGAAGAAATTATGGTGTCAGGATGATGTGAGTAAACCACTGGATCCACATCTTTGAATAGGCAAAAGAACATGGCATCTAGTGCATGAATGGAAGAGTTGGATTTCAGTGACAATGTGAACAGCATATTTGTAGAATTGGGAAAAAACAAAAGGAGCATGTGGGCCAAAGTAGTCTCTGTTACATAACTGAATCTTTCTTTCATTTTATACAAGTTATATAATCTTCAATGGCTTTTTTATGTTCTTCATATCCTAGAATTTCTTCCAAGCCACAGATTAAATTTTCTTCTCTTCAAAGCCTTCTTTAGTAACAATAGTTCATATGGTTGACTGTCCATCTTGAATGCCAATAACACACAGTAATTGATACATCATATTTTGGTATTTACATATAATCAATTGTTTTGTCCTCTACTTCTATATCAAAAGCCAAAGATCTCTCTACTATATTGACACAACCACCTTATGAACTCATATGCATTTTTAAGGCCCTAATAAGTTGCTCTTTATTTTTGAGAAACCATCTGTGACTTCCCCCATAGTTTAATCCTTTCTGCTTTTAGCTTCTAGAACACTTAGGACATATTTCTACTATACCAATTCTCCATCTTCATTATAAATATTCTTGCTGATCTTCCTTATGGAGTCTTTTGAGTAGGGATTTTATGTTATTTGTATTTACATTGTCATCCTAGGCAGATCGTCTTGTGCATCATAGGTGCCGAAATTGTGAATGAAGAAATAAAACAAAATGCTAGCATTATGTTTGGATATGAGTATGTGCTGATTGACTTACACTAAATTATTGTACCACACAATTTAAAAACATTATTACTTATGGGTACTAAAAGTAGTGATTCCATTTCCTTAAAAAAATTATTAAATGGAATTGAGACATAGGAAGGAAGACCACTTACTCCTGACATGAGGCAGAGTATGTGTATTATTGTTTATTATGGTAAATACAAGTCTTATTGATAATGGCCTTAGTCTAGAAATGTTTCAACCTGAGGCATTCATGAAGAGTGTTTCATTTTCATTGATGCTTACGTTTTATTCTCTTCTTTAGAGTCCTTTACTTAACTCCTCTCATTTTAACAGTTGGTCTGTGTCCCAATTTTACTGTTTATTTCATTTAATCACATATTTACCAAATAATTATTACTGTCTATACTAATGTTATTATATTAGTTCTGGAATAATTTAATGTTGTCTATTTCCTCATGACAAATGTTCAGAAAAGGAATTAGAAAATTAGGAAAGAAATAAATAGAAAAGATAAAAGCAAGGTATGTCCAGGTAATTTTACTGATAGTGGATTGTTGATTCAGATATGTGAGGCAGCTTCAGACACACTAGGAAAGTTTATTGAGATAATTTATAACTGCCACATAATACATACCTGTCAGCCTTCCTTCTGTTTCTCTAATGAACTAATCTCTGGAGCTTCCATCTCCCCTGGAACCTTTATATATCAAGACACTCTTACCTTAACTCTTCCTTTTGCTGGAAAATTCTACATTTTCATATTTTGGTTTAGATGTCATCTCCTCTAATCAAAATTGCACCCCTCATCCACTCCTTTCTCATTCCTTATTTTATCTCAGTCACCATGTTTTCTCAAAATTTCTACAGCAAATAGAGACTAGCATGTATTTCTGTGCTTAAGTCAGCTTTATCTAGCACAGTACTTGGCATACAGTTTGCAATTAATACACATTTGTTAAGGAATGAATGAATATTACATGGGTGCATGGATGAATGCATGCATGGAAGGATGGACGGTGAATGTGTGTGTGTAAAACTTGGGCCTATTATTTTTTATTGTGGACTTAGAATATCTAATATTATGGTGTTAGGCCATTCTTGCATTGTTATAAATACCTGAGATTGTGTAATTTATAAGGAAAGGGTTTAACTGGCTCACATTTCTGCAGGCTGTGCAGGAAGCATGGTGCCAACATGTGCTCAGCTTTTGGTGATAGCCTCCGGAAGCTTACAATCATGGAAGAAGGTAAAGAGAGAGCAGGCATCTCACATGGCAGGAACAAGAAAGATGGGAGGGGAGGTGCCCTAGTTTTAAACAACCATATCTCACGGGTACTCACTCACTATCATTAGGGCAGCACCAAGCCATGAGACATCCTCTCCCATGATCTAATCATGTCCCGTACCCCACCTCCAACACTGAGATTACAATTCAACATGAGGCTTGGAGGGGGCATCCAAACTATACAATTCCAACCCTGGCCCCTCAAATCTCTGTCCTTCTCACATTGCAAAATATAAGAATCTCTTTCCAATAATCCCCCAAATTATTAGCTTATTCCAGCATTAACTTAAAATTCTAAAGTCTCATTTGAGACAATGCAAGTTCCTTTTACCTATGAGCCTGAAAAATCAAAAACAAATCATTTACTTACAAGATCAGGTGGGGATATAGGCATTAGGTAAACATTCCCATTCCAAAAGAGATAAATCAGTCAAAAGAAAGGGCTACAGGCCCCATGCAAGTCTGAAACCCAGCAGGGCAGCTGTTAAATCCTAAAGCTCCAAAATAGTCTCCTTTGAGTCCATGTCCCACATCCCGGACACACTGTTTCAAGGGGTGGGTTCCCAAGGCTTTGGGCAGGTCTGACCCTGTGGTTCTGCAGGGTTTAGCTCCCACATCTGCTCTTACAGGTTGGAATTTAGTGCTTGCAGATTTTCCAGGTGCAGGGTGCAAGCTTCCAGTGGCTTTAACATTCTGGGGTCTGGAGGATGGTGGAGTCCTTCCCACAGCTCCACTAGGCAGTGCCCCGCTGAGAACTCTGTCTTGGGTCTCCAACCCCACATTTCCCCTTGGCACTGCCCTAGTAGGGTTTCCCTGTGTGGGCTCCACCCCTGTAGCAGGCTTCTGCCTGGGCACCTACGCTTTTCCACACATCCTCTGAAATTTGGGTGGAGGCTGCCAAGCCTCTTTTACTCTTGCATTCTGTGTGCCCACAGACTTAATACCACATGGGAGCTGCCAAGGCTTACAGTGGCTTACACCCCACCTGCAGCCTGAGCTGTACCTGGGGTCCTCTGAACCAAGGCTAATGCAGGAGTTGCCTGGATGTGGGGAGCAGTCTCTTGAGCCCGTGCTGTGTCTTATGTCCTGGGTCCTGAGCAGTATACTGAGGCTGTGGAGCCCTGACTTCTGAAACCATTTTACCTTTCTAGACAAAGCCATTCTTTCCTCCTAGGGCCTGTGATGGGAGGGGTTGCCTAGAAGATTTCTCAAAAGCCTTCAAATCATGTTTCCCATTGCCTTGGATATCAGCACTTGGCTTTTTTTTTTTTTTTTTAGTTATGCAAATTTCTCGCAAGTGGTGGCTCCACGGCCTGCTTGACTTCTTCCCCTGAAAATGGGCTTTTCTTTTCTACCACATGGCCAGCCTGCAAGTTTTTCAAATTAATAGACTCGCTTCCCTTTAAAATATAAGTTCCAGATTTATGTCATTTCTTTGCCTGCATCAGAGCATAGGCTCTTAGAAGCAGTGGGGTCACACCTTGAATGCTTGGGTGCTTAGAAATTTCTTCCAACAAATACCCAAGGTCATCACTACCACGTTCAAACTTTCACAGGTCCCAAGAGTGAGGACACAATACAACTAGGTCCTTTGCTAAGGCATAACAAAGGTTATCCTTGATCCAGCTCCTAATACATTCCTCATTTTCATCTGAGACCTCATTCATTGTTTATATCACAACCAGCATTTTGATCACAACATTTCACCAGTCTCTAAGAAGTTCCAAATTTTTCCTGTCTTCTTCTGAACCCTCTAAACTCTTCCAATCCCTGCCTGTTAACCCAGTTGCGAAGCTGCTTCAACATTTTTTGGGTATCTTTACAGCAAGTACCAATTTTCTGTGTTAGGCTCTTTTTGCATTGCTATAAAGAAACACCTTAAGAGTGGGTAATTTATAAGAAAAAGGTTTAATTTGCTTATGGTTCTGCAGGCTGTGTAGGAAGCATGGTGCCACCATCTGCTTGGCTTCTGATGGAGGCTTCAGGAAGCTTAAAATCATGGTGGAAGAGGAAGTGGGAGCAGATATCTCACCTGGTGGAAGTAGGAACAAAAAAGATGGGGGCATGTGCCATACTTTTAAGTAAGCAGATCTCACGAGAACTTCCCATCATGAGAACACCACCAAGCCATAAGGGATCCACCTCCATGACCCAATACCCTCCCATCAGGCCTCACTTTCAAAACTGGAGGTTGCAATTCAACATGATATTTGGGATATCCAAAATATATCAATGATTAAGGATTTTTTTGTGTGTATTAAGTAAAATAGGATAGTTGCTAGCTTTCATTAAAAAATGATTTTAATGATTGTGGAATGTGTCATTGAATAGATGTACCATACAGTCTCCATTTTAAGTCAAACATTATGAGAAGGCTTTATTACTGCATCATTTCTATTCTTCACAATGATCCTGAAATGTAAATAGTATTATTATTTTACAGATTGAGAATCTGAGGCTTGGTAAAGTCAATCAAACTTCTTAAGTTTCTGTAGCCAATATGTAGAAGAACTGAGTATTAAAACTGGAACTGACTTCTAAAATGATTACTCTTTCCATTAAACCAAGCTACATTTATGTAGACTGTTAACATTGTAATAATACTATTAATAAATCCATCATAAATGTATAGTACTTTATGAATTATTTTCCAAATAAACCTTGATTATAATAAATTATTGGTACATTGGTAAAAAATATAATATTAATACTCATTGCAATAATAATGATGATATATACAGGTTGCAAAATGGTGGCCTCTGAAACAAATATAGATTTTTTTGAGGGGGAAGGAAGAAAGGGAAGTAGTAAAGTGTTTTTAAAATTTAAGCCAATGCTTTGTGAATTGTGAGAATTCTCACACAAACGCACACAAACGTACATACATGTACACACATACCCAGATATTTGGATTCCTCTAAGCAATCTATAGTTATTTTAATACTGGACTCCATTTTTGCTAGAGATGTGAGTTTGAACCTGACCTACTGCCACTTTAGTGAGATAGCATCTTCTAGTTCACCATTTCCAGCAGGCCAGTTTATTTAGACAACCTGTCAAGTAACTGTAGACATTTGCGTTTTTAGCCAATTAAATAGTAAGTTGAAGAACTCTTTTTTACATGCAATCTTAAGAAAATTTAATTTTCCTTATTCTTTATTTCTCTATGTAGTTGAGTTATACCAATGGCTGTAAAATGTAAGAAGGGAGAAGTTCTGACTTCCGAAGATGGCAGCAGCCTCTTTCTGTCTCTAGGGGCGCTATATTAAATGTTATTAACAGAGCTTGAAAAACTCTACTGCAAAAATTACACTTAATGTGAAAATGAAGTAATAAAATTACTTTTAATCATTGAAGAAAAATTTATATCTAATTCCATGATACCGATAAATGCTTGATTAAGCTATTAATAGCATACATTTGAGAAGAGAGAAGAATCTAAGATTAATCATCATCCAAAACCCCAGATTGAGTTTCAGTTTATACTAAATGTTCACTTTTAGGAGAAATTTCATAGAATCACTTTAATCTGAACTGTTTTAAAAAGAGCATAAACAAACAAAAACGTAGTTAATTATCCCCAAGTCACCATGATTATTCTTTTGTGTTTTCAGTGACATGAGGTTAATTGGATGAGAGATGAGAAACATTTTATAATTTAAAATTATATTGTTTTGCCTATGACCGTACGAGTCTCAGAATAAAACGGCTCTTGTGTTATATACAAGAGCTAATGAATGGCCTAATGAATGGTTCAGCTATCTGTTGTATGAGGATAACTGATGATCAAAACAAGTCTGTAAGTTTGCCTTCAATCTTTTAAAGATTGAGGAAAAAAACAATAAATACGCAAATAATGAATCTGTAATATTCATGTAACCATGCAAAAAAAATAATATCTGTTACTCTGGCCTCCTTTATTTAAAAAAGGCAAAAGATAAGCCAATAGGATGAAAATTGTCCTTTAGAAAGCTGACAAACTTCAATACCATAGTTAAACCAGACTTCCTTCAAATGTAGGGTTTTTATATGTCTAACCTTGAAATGTAATCATAAGATCTAAATCTACCACATGCAACTAACTATTTGAGCATGTGTATCAATGTCATCTGAGCCCTCTTGATTATAAAAAAACAGTACCTGCTAGCCAATACTTTAAATAGAACTTTACCAGCATTATTTTATTATTCAATTAATTTACAACTACACAGGTCTGGACATAAAAAATACAAAGATTTTCCACAGATATCCAGATAATCATTGTATATTTACATGAAATGCTACCATTGTATACAAACACCTTCAGGATTCAAATAATATCATAGCTTAAAATGTTTAAAAACTACTACTGTCAGGAGTGATAATCTTAAGAATTTTGTAGTCTTTCACATGAAAGGCCCATTGTGAATTTAGGGAACCATAGTTTTGGGAACACTGGCTACAGATGTACACTTAAGAGCCTGGTACCAAGTAGGAAAATGACTTGGATCTATTTAAATATGCCCAATTACTTTCACATCCAAGGGTTGTAAATACCATTAAGTTGACTCAATATTCTCTGATATTTCTTTCTGCATACATTTATTTTACTTACTTATTTAAAGACAGAGTCTCACTCTATTGCCCAGGCTGGAGTGCAGTAACGTGATCTCTGCTCACTGCAACCTCCACCTCCCATGTTCAAGTGATTCTCCTGCCTCAGCCTCCCAAGTAGCTGGAATTACAGGCGCACACCACCATGCCTGGCTAATTTTTTTTATTTTTAGTAGAGTCGAGGTTTCATCATGTTGGCCAGGCTGGTCTCGAGCTCCTGGGCTCAAGTGATCTGCCTGCCTCAGCCTCCCAAAGTGCTGGGATTACAGGCATGGACCACTGCACCCAGTCCTTTCTGCATAAATTTAAATAAATATTTCTAAAATATATGTATAAGAAGTCAAGTAATAAAGATTATTTTCCTTTTTTCATAGATAATAAAGGGAAATGAAAAATAAACCATTCTCATTCAACAATGAAGATATATTTTATGCTAGTTCAGTAATTTTAAATATATTGACATCATATTCCTTACCTTTACTATATCATATAGCTAAAAACTAATATGTATTGAACACTTTTGTGTCATGAATTGCACTAAGTGTTTGTTTGATATGCACTATTCACAAGTAAGTCTATTTGGTATAAGGCATCTGCAGATACATATATATATTTTTTGAGACCAAGTCTCGCTCTGTCACCCAGAATGAAGGGCAGTGGCAGGATCTCAGCTCACTGCAACTTCCGCCTCCTAGGTTCTAGCAGGTGATTCTTGTGCTTCAGTCTCCTGAGTAGCTGGGACTACAGGCACGCACCACCACACCTGGCTAACTTTATATTTTTTAGTAGAGATGGAGTTTTGCCATGTTGGCTAGGCTAGTCTTGAACCCCTGGCCTCAAGTGATCCGCCCACTTTGACTTATCAAAATGCTGGAATTACAGGCATGAGCCACTGCACCCAGCCAAATAAATTCAAATAACTTATTCACATTTGCTTGCCAAGGGATCCAGAATTTTATTTCAGCTGCATCCAAATCCGGATCCCATAGAGGAATACCACATTATTGTTCCAGGATAATAATATAGATTTACACAAATACACACATACACACAACACATTTATACAGAGGCACAATGTACATCCATATTCAAGCACACATAGAAACACATGTGTGCACACATACATACATGGATAAAACATAATTTATTTTGAAAATGAATTATATATGAATTATTGAGGGAAATATATGAAATGAGCATAACTGTATATGTGTGTATGTATGCGGTAATTTCCTAAATCTTCATAATCAAGCAGAATTCTAGTACCAAACCCACCACCTTTGTTTTAACCTTTATTGCCTCCTGAAAACTCAATTTCTATCACTGTCATTGCAATTTTACTGGTCATCCAATGTGACATTCATAATCTTTATTAATTATTTCATCCATTCTTACTTCCCATATCCAATCTTTCACCCTGTGCATCATGCTTTTGTTGAAGCAAAAACCTCCTTTCTCTTTTGTGGGCAGTTGATCTTAGTTGCTTTTTTTTTTATATACTTTCACAAAGTGTCTTCCTGTTAGATAATCCTTGCTTATGTATTAGCTGATGAGTTTGATTTGCTGTTTCTTTTTGAGAAATATATATGTTAATTAGACTAATACAATGTCACAAACTAAATGTATCTCTATTTTTACCCATAAGAGAGGGAGATAGAGCGTGAGAGAGAGAGAAAGAGAGAGAGATGAACAGTGGCTTTACCAGGAGTCAAAATTGCTGGGATGTAGGCCTAACTCTAATAACAACTAGCTCTATTAACCTTTGGCAGGTAGTGCTTATTTTGTCTTAATATCATCTCTTGTCAAAAATGATTTATATATGCATATTGCAACATCAAGTGCCTGTGAGAACTAAGTCTGAGGTTTAAAACTCTTTAAGCTTCTTCTGGTCTAATATGTGAAGGTTCCAGCCTCCAGCTCTACATACATGTAAATACTATACTCAATTTAAAAAGAAAAAAAAAACCAAAAATATATAGCTGAGTTCAAAAATGGCAATGTGGTGAGTTCCACGTACCCATTCCCCAGCAAAACAAGCAATGCAGATGAAAATTCAAAACAACAATGGCAGCAACAGAACAATATAAAAAATCTCTGGAAATTGTACTAAGAACATACAGAATTAAAGAAATACTTATTTAAGAAAATCTAAAACTCAATAAGAACAGCAAGAATTTGTGGCATTCGAGCCCTGACCTACTTACTACTTCCCCAACCCAGCTAAGTCTGATGGAAGTGCTAGTCCACATGAGTGTAGGGAAACATGTATCAAGAAGATGGGGTTTTGTCTCCTGTCAATTCCCAATCAAGACTTTCCATATCTCATATTGAGAGTTAGGCTGCCAGCCCTTCTCTCTTCTGCACCTTTGAGTTGAAGAAAGAAGGTAAATATATGCGGAGTGTAACTAAGAAGTTAAGGGCTCTCTTTCTCCCCACACCCCTACTTTTAGGACAGTGGTTCCACCTTGGCCATGGAAGGATGAGAATATTGGGGCCCCAACCACACTTCCTCCAGCTTAATCTTAGGTAGAGTTTTCATGCAAGGAAAGGCAAGCCAAGAACACCAGAGATTCCTGTCCTCCCAGCACCCAGAGTAGTGTCTCTGAAAGTTTGCTCATGAGTACAGTCAGTTCATAAAACAAAAGACTGCAAAGCTCTTACCAAATGAACTGACAATACTTGAAACAGAGTGAAGAAATGAAAACCCTATGAGCACTCTCAGAGACAACAGCTCCTCTTAATTAACAGCAATAAGGTTTACAATAGGCTACCTACCTCAGCAGAGAGAATCATTGAAAGAGATAGAAAAAAAAAAAAAGCCATTCTGCTATTCTGTGGTCAGAACAAACCTCAAATACTGTCTTCATAAATTATCCCTGTCCAGATTTTATTAGATTCGACTGCTGGGCTATTTATGCCTCAAGGCATTATCAAAACCAATAAAGCAGCCAACTCATAATTAACATGGCCTAATGGGTCAGTATATAACAAAATGAAGCATCCATCTTAAGACAGAGATCTGAGAGACAGTTGAAAAGGGCCCTGCTAAAACCACTGTCATCCCAGCATCCCAGAGTGACTGTGCACATGCCAATGGCTGCCTGCTGTTAAGAAGCAACAGTAAGTCTTCACACTGGAAGGAAAATAAATGTCACTAAAATAGCCTAGTCAAGTCACAAAACACGTGAAGAGAGAGCAAAAACAAACCTTGAAAGGGGGATATTATTATGCAGTATATTACAAACAATTCCTAGTTGTCAAAAAATCAATGAGACATAAAAAGAAACGGAAATGTGTAACCCATACACAGGAGGAAAAAAAGACAGACAACATGAACTGTCTATAAAAGAAACAAAGTATCATATTCAACAGTCAAAGACTTCCAAGTAGCTGATAATAATATGTTCCAAAAAAGTTAAAAAGAAAACATGCTTAAATAAATAAAAGAAGGTATGAAGACAATGTTTTATCAGATAGAGAATATTAAATAAGAAATATAAGTTATATTTATAAAAGAACCAAATGGAAACTCTGGTGTTGAAAATTAAAGCAGTCAAAATGAATATGAACATATATAAAAATGGTATATATACACATATACATTTATATACATATATATACAAGTATATACATATATATATGAAAACTCAAAAGGAGGCTTTAATTGACAGAATAAAATGTCTGTAAACTTTGAAATAGATTGATGGAGATTATGCAAGAATCTTCATAAGATCTTCATTCTGTTTTCTCTATGAAGAAAACATAAATTATATTTTTATGAAATTATGTTTTCATAAATTTCTACGAAGAAAATAGAATGAAGAAAAATAAAAGAACCTCAGAGAAATATACAGTATCTTTAAGCTCACCAACATTTGTGTAATGGTAGTACCAAGAGTGAGACAAAGAGAAAGGAGCAGAAAAATATATTAAAGAAATAAAGCTGAAAACGTCTGAAATTTGTTGAGAAGCAGTAATCTAAACATTTAAGAAACTCTATAAGCTCCAAGTAGGATAAATACAAAGAGATCCACACCCAGACACAGCACACTAAAAATCCTGAAAGCCAATAATAAAAAGTAAGTATTGAACACAGCAAGAGAAGATGCCTTGTCACATGTAAGAGGGGCCCAAAAAGATCAGCAGCTGATTTAACATTGGAAACCATAAAGGCCAGAAGACAGTGGGATGACACATTCAAAGTGCTGAAACAACAACAACAACAACAACAACAACAACAACAAAAACAAAAACAGATATGTGACCCAAAATTCTTATATCCAGTAAAGCAAGTTTTCAAAAATGAAGGCAAAATAAAGACCTTTCCAGATAAGCAAGAAATGAGAGAATTTGCTGCTAGAAGACCTGTCTTACCAGAAATATTGAAGGAGACTCATCAGACAGAAGCAAGTAAACCCAAATGGAAATTTGAATGTATTCAAGAAAACAAACAGGATTAGGAAAGGTAAATTATACAATTATACAGGGGCAGTATAAATGTATGTTTTCCTTCATTTACTACCTGATTCAAAAAGCAAGTGTACACAACAAAACTAAATACATGGAGGAAATGTTACTAAAATCTTTAACCATTATTGTTTTCTGTTTTCTGTTATTTATTCATTTACTTTTTTATTTTCCATCTTTTCTTTTAGATTCAGTGGGTGCAAGTGCGGGTTTGTTACCTGGGTATATTGCATGATGCTGAGGTTTTAGGAAGGAATGATTTTATCACCCATCTACAGAGTATAATAACCAACAGTTTTTCAACCCTTTCTCCCCTTTCCCCTCCTCTTCCAGTAGTTCTCAGTATCTACTGATGCTATCTTTCTGTCCTTGAGTACCCAACATTTAGTTCCCACTTATAAGTGAAAACATGCAGTATTTGATTTTCTGTGTCTGCATTGATTCACAGGATGATGGCCTCCAGCTGCATCCATATTGCTGCAAAGGACATGAGTTAATTCCATTTTATGACTGTGTAGTATACCCTGATGTATATATAGCATGTTTTCTTTAGTCTACTGTTGATGGGCATTCAGGTTGATTCCATGTCTTTGCTAATTGTGAATAGTGCTGCAATGAACATGCTAGAGTATGTGTCTTTTGGGTAGAACAATTTGTTTTCTTTTGAATGTGTATTCAGTAATGGGATTGCTAGGTTGAATGGTAGTTCTGTTTTAAGTTTTTGAGAAATCTCCAAACTGCTTTTCACAGTGGCTGAACTAATTTACATTCCCATTAACAGAGTATAAGCCTTCCCTTTTCTCCACAGCTGTGTCAACATCTGTTGTTTTTTGACTTTTTAATAGCCTTTCTGACTGGTGTGAAATGGTATTTCATTATGGTTTTGATTTGCATTTCTCTGATGATTGGTGATGATGAGCATTTTTTCATATACTTGTTGGCTGCTTGTATGTCTTCTTTTGAGAACAGTCTCTTTATGTCTTTTGTCCATGTTTAAATAAAATTATTTGATTTTTTTGCTTGTTCAGTTATTCATTTTTTTTATACATTCTGGACATTAGGCCTTTGTTGAATGCATAGTTAGTGAATATTTTCTCCATTTTATAGGTTGTCTGTGTATTCTATTGATAGCTTCTTTTGCTGTGCAGAAGTTCTTCAGTTTAATTAGGTCCCACTTGTCAATATTTGTTTCTGTTTCAATTGCTTTTGCTGACTTAGTCATAAATTCTTTACCAAGGTCCATGTCCAGAATGGTGTTTCCTAGGTTTTACTCTAAGATTCTTATATTTTGAGGTCTTACATTTAAATCCATAATCCATCTTGAGTCAATTTTTGTATATGGTGAAATATAGGAATCCAGTTGCATTCTTCTGAATATGGCTGGCTAATCAGTTATCGCAGACCATTTATTGAATGGGGAGTCCTTTCTCCATTGCTTATTTTTATCAATGTTGTCAAAGATTAGATGGCTGTAAGTATGCAGCTTTATTTCTGGATTCTCTAGTCTGTTCCATTGGTCTAGTTTTGTACTATTACCATGCTGTTTTGGTTACTGTAGCCTTGTAGTATAGTTTGAAGTTAGGCAATATGATGCCTCTAACTTTTTTCTTTTTGCTTAGGATTGCTTTGGATATTCAGGCTCTTTTTTGATTCCATAAGAATTTTAGAATAGTTTTTTATAGTTCTGTGAAAAATGATATTGACATTCGTAGTTTGATAGAAATAGCATTGGATTTATAGATTGCTTTGGGCAGTATGTCCATTTTAACAATATTGATTCTTCCAATCCATGAGTATGAAAAATTTTTCTATTTGCATGTGTCATATCTGATTTATTTTAGCAGTATATTATAGTTCTCCTTGAAGAGGTCTTTCACCTCCTTGGTTAGACGTATTCCGAGGTATTATATTCTATCATATTGTATTTTTCTGACTATTATAAGTGGGATCGTGTTCTTGATTTGACTCTCAACTTGAATGTTGTTGGTATATAGAAATGCTAATTTTGGTACATTGATTTTGTATCCTGAAGCTTTGATGAGGTCATTTTCAGTTCTAAGAGCCCTTTAGTGGGGTCTTTAGGGTTTTCAACGTACGGAATCATATTATCCATGAAGAGAGATAGTTTGCCCTCTTTTCCTATTTGGATGTCTTTTATTTCTTTTTCTTGCCCTAGTGCTCTGGCTAGCACTTCCAGTAGTATGGCAAATTGTCTAGTTTTCTCCTCAGTTCTGTTGGCTTTTTCTTCATGTATTTTGAGACTCTGTTGTCTATTTTATATATGGTTATGTATGATTATAATCGTTATAACTTGCTGATGGATTGACCCTTTTTATTCTAAAATATCATTTATCTTTAGTAACCTTTTTAAAATTTTTATAAATATTTAACAGTAACATAAAGGACGTGAGTGGAAGCAAGATATTAACTTATATATACAGGATAAAATAAGAAAATTAGAAATAGTAAATAAGAAGGCATAGATAGCATCAAAAATATATACTGCACTCCTTTCTTTTTTCAGCTTTTTTAATAGACATCAAATTATATAAAGTAATAATTATAATAATTTATGTTGTTTCTGTAATACAATTAGAAATAATATGTTTAATAATAATATCACAAAAAGAGAAGAGGAAATAGAGATAGGAGTAAAGTAATGTTTTCGAATCTCACTTGGATTAAATTAGTATACATCTAAAATAGATTCTGATAAGTTGTATATTATAAACCCTACATAGATCCCTCAAAATTAACTCAAGAAGGTCAGGCATGGTGGCTCATACCTGTAATCTCAGAACTTTAGGAGGCCAAAGCAGGAGGATTGCTTGAGCTCAGGAGTTTGAGCCTGGGTTACATGGCAAAATCCTGTATCTACAAAAAATCTAAAAATCAACTGGGCATGGTGGAACATGCCTGTAGTCCTAGCTACTGGGGAGACTGAGGTAGAAGGATGTGGCTTGAGCCCAGGAGGTGGAGGTTGCCGTGAGCCATGATGGAGCCACTGCATTCCAGCCTGGGTGACACAGCAAGACCCTGTCTCAAATAATAATAATAATAATAATAATAATAATAATAATAATAAATAACTCAAGAATATTGTGAAAAACTCATTAAATAAACTAAAATATTTTACTATATTTACTTAATGCAAAACAAACAGTAAAAGAGAAATAAAGGAACAAAAAAGCCATGAAACATATAGAAAACAAGTAACACGGTAAATAAAAATTCAACTATATTATAATAACATTAAATGTAAAGGGATAAAATAATGAAAAGGCAAAAATTATCAGACTGGATTTAAAAACAAAAATATATCCTATTGTCTGCTGTCTACAGAAGGCAGACTTTAGATTCAAATACATGAATAGGTTAAATATAAAAGATGAAAAAAGATGTATAATACAAAGAGCAAACATAAAAATACTGAGGTGGCGTATCCAGGCATGGTGGTGCATGCCTGTAGTCACATCTGCTTGGGAGGTTGAGGAGCAGGGATCACTTGATCCAAGGAGTTCAAAGCCAGCCTGGAAAACAGAGAGACCCTGTCTCAAAGGAAGAAAATTATACTGGAGTGGCTATGCTAACATCAGGCAAAACTGATTTAAATTTTTAAATAAATTTTAAATTAAAAAATTATAAAATGTTAAAGATAAAACATATTGTAGAATGAAAAGAGGGTCATCAGAAAGTTATAACAACTACAACCATATATGTAATAAAAGATTGTAAACTAGTAGTCACTTTGGAAAAAAGTCTGGCAGTGACATAAAATAATAACCATGAAGTTATCATTTGACCCAGCAATTCCACTCCCCAGGCAAATAACAACAATAAATACTTAAAAATGTATACGTTCATTTTCATAGCAGCATTATTCATAATAGAAAAAAATGGATACAGCACAGATCTCTATCAACTAATGAATGGATAAAGAAAATGGTGGAAACACACAATTGAATATTATTTATTGACAAAAAGAAATAAGTACTGATGAATACTCCAACATGATGAACCTTGAAAAAATTATGCTAAGTGAATGAAACCACTTACAAAGGACCACGTATGGAATATATCCATCTGTATGAAATGTTCGGAATAGGCAAATGTATACGGAGTAAAGTAGATTAGCGGTTTTCCACAGCTGTAGAAGACGGAAGGATTGAGGGAAATGGATGATAGATATGTGGTTTCTTTTTGGGGTAATAAAAAATATTCTAAAATTGATTGTGATGATGGATGCACAACTTCATGAATAAAATAAAACTTATGAATTGTATACTTTAAATAGGCGAATGGTATGAATATGTGAAATATATCCCAATACGCCATTGAAAAGCAAATAAAAAGAAGTATTTATATACCAGAAAAGAAGAATTGAAACCATAATTGTGAGCAACCAGTGACATGCAGCCCACTGGAGCATCAGAAGATAATATAGCCTACAAGAGTTGAGGTTTCAACAAGCAAATGAAAATCAGAAAGTGACCTTATGCTTCTGCATCATGAGGAATAGATTCTAAGATTTTTGCCTTCACTGAAAACCCAAGAAGTACTGTCCCTTCTGTAAGACAGTCTAGAAAGCCTCCTCTCACTGGTCTGGAGATAAAATACAAAAGAGAGCCATAGTTAGAAATAGGGCTCCCACTCTTACCTATGAAGAGGTAATGGGTCAGACTTCAATACTATTTACATAATGGAAACATTATTACTTAAGATTATTAACAAAAAAACTTACTCAGAACCAATTATCCCATGCACCCTATAGAGACAATGCAGAATCACTCCTCAGTGCATGTTGCCTTCATTATTTCAGGCCATGAACAATTCTCTGGGGGCAAAAATGATATAAAAATTGAGTAATCACCTCTTATGAACACAAATTTACTGTTAAAAATTATAAAACACAGAAGATAATAAGTCACCAAGACATTCTCAAGTGCTACTAATTGGAGATTTTAAATACCAACAAGCATAGGTGACATATTACATAAGATACCATAGTTGTTTACCTAAAGTGATTTTATGACTTTTCTTTACCTCATAGGTTGTGGAATAATTACTTGATTTGGGTTCTCCTGAATGTGCCACAAACTGACCTATTTCTAACTATTCCTTGCACTCTATTCTTCAGCAATTTACATCTAGTTTTGGTTTTCTATTGCTGCCTATAATCTTTCACTTCCCAAGAAATTTGCTTAAGTCCTACTTGGTGATTTTTCTCTATTTTAATATCCTTTTGGTAATTTCTGACCCAGCCTTTCATAGCCCCACTCCTGCTCTGACTGTTCCCAGGTCCCCCCAAGCACACTGATTTTCTCCTCTCTCAGACATGTTGTTACTCTTCTGTTACTCCTCAATTACTTAGAACTTATTGTAGCACAGTTCTACTAGAATTGTATTTATGTTTGTCTCTTGCTATAGATTACAAATTCCTGGAAAGCAAAGACAGTTCATAATCATTCTCCTTTCCACAACTTCTATCCTCCATGTATACTACAAAGATCTGCCACATAACAAGGCAAAATAATGAACATTGAAAGTCCAGTCATAAAAAGAGAAATGCAAAGAAAAACCAGTGGAAAAATTTTTTACAGTCATTTACCTAAGATTTCCAACAATCTGGAAGACTTTAAGATACCAACAATGAATAGCTTGTTACCATTTGGAAGCTGAGTGAAATTGAGGAAAATCTCCTGATCTTGACTAACAGCAGTAATAATAGCTACTGGACACCGTACTCTACATGCACTGTCTCATATGATTCTCACTATAACTCAATTTTCCACTTTATGAATGAGACTTAGGTTAAGGTTAAGCAGCTCACTCATGTTATTCCAGCTGAATAGGGATGAATATCAGATTTGAAGCCAGGTCTGTTTGATTTCTTAACTACTTCAGAGTCATAATTTTTTTCCAGTATGTTTACCAATGCAGAAAAAAAAAAACAGGATTATGCTATGAGGAAATGTGGACATTTTCTTGAGTTTCTGATTTCTTGTCTAGGCAATTTACTTCCACAAATTAAAAGAGCCATGATTACCAGATCCGTTTACTCACTATTAAGAATATATTGTCACATGGCATTTCTGGATTTCTCCCCTTTATCCACCCAAGTCCACATCAATTTACTTTGATGTTGCATTAAGCAATCAGATTTTGACAGTTTCAATTTGTATTATACAAATTCTTTTGTGTAATACGGTGAGAAAATTATGATTAAAAGATGTGTACAGTAATAGACACTTGAAAACGGAATGTCTATCAAGTGTTGCCATATCTCTGATTTAAAATGTTTATGGATTCATAGCAAGGTGCCTGTTGGTAACTAAGATATTCATCCATCTTCCCGGGCATATGTTAATCATACTCTTGGCACATGTTCAAAGAATAATGAAAAAGTTACTGTTTAAAAAAAAAGATGGAGAAAAAAATATTTGATTTGTTGTTAAGAAATAACTTATTAATAATACATTTATAAACCATAGAGCATAGTTTAAATCCTTAGTGTGGCATGGTGAGAAGATCTGAACATTAGAGCCAGAAAATCAAGTTTAAATGAATCCCAATTTTTCTACTTAGTAGCTGTGTGATTGAGAAAGTCACTCACTTGCTTAGACTTCTTTTCTTACTGATCTATTTAATTAATAGATAACATTTGCTTCAAAATGTTATCCATAGAAATCCAATCAATTAAATTGGGGAAAAACCCATAGTTCAATACCTGAAATAATTAATATTATCTCACTTTGTTAAAAATCTTTGATGATATCTTCCTGGAAGAATTCAACAGGTCATTTGCTGATTATCTATAAAGACATTATATATAAACTATATATGTAAAAATATGTATAAATATAACCTCTTAATTACAAATAACATCTAACTATAAATAACCATAAAATTATATATATAAATGTAATCATATCAAAGTGTTAAGGAGATATTTTAATTTATGAAGTATACAGCTTTAGAATCATATGACTGGATGCAGATACTGGGTCTACCATATACTGTGTTTGTGATCTGGAGTAAGTCACCCAAATGCAGAAAGCCTCAGTAACATTATCTGTAAAGTGGGCATACTAATAGAACTTGCTTCATTTTGTTTTTCTGAAAAGTAAATGATGTATGTTTAATATAGCACTCTGTATATAGTGCTATATAAAACTATATATATTCACTCTGTATATAGTGAATACTCAATAGATGCTAGGCAATTCTGTTATCTCCACTTAATCAACGAGGAAAAAGAGGTTAAGTGCTTTGCCTAAAAATTAACAGAATCAGGACTTGAATTTGGTTCCATTCAATTTTAAATCTCATTCTCTTTCTCCTACAACATTTAGCCATTTACATTCTGCTGATTCACCTACCCTATTCATGGAATGTTGTCTTTGTGCTCTGATATATCTGATGCCTGTAATGATTATCTTGCAGTACAAAATGATTTAATTGTGGCCCACCAATAAAATAATCCCATCCTCCATATGAAATAATTTCAACTTGCTTTTAGTTGTTTCTTTCTTAAAATTAAATTTGAGACCATCAGGAGGGTCTCAGTATGAAAATAAAATTATAGAAGAATAATGTTAATGTAATCCATATTAACAGCAAGCATAATTATTACAATCCATTGTAAAAATATGTGTGAAACTTGCATATGAATGGTTTTCATTAACAAAATATCATTAACTGATAATTATATAGTAATTTTGCATTTATTATTAGAATTTATAAAGTTATATTATTTCACCCTTACAAAAGCTTTAAAAGATAGGTTAGAAAAGTGTTTTTATAGACAGTAATGAAACCAATGCTCAGGGAATTAATAGGATGAGGCCAATACTGCAGTGCTTGTTAGTAGGTGATAGAGCTGAATTTGAATCCAAGATGCCTGATTGTAGGGGTACACTCCTGGGCATCACTATTATCCAGCCCAAGTACTTTCAGTATGAAATCAGAAGAGCTTTATAATTCAGTTACCTCCAACTTAAAGACGGGTGCATTGTTTTCCCCAACTGACATTTACTTCAAAAACAAATAAATACAGAATGAATGGCATTTAAAATAAAAAGCAGTCACTGTTTTTTATGCTGGACATTATGTTGACAAATGAGACAGGCTAGTTTAGGGTGAATGCCTGTTATTGCAAGGGATCTAGAGTATATTTGTGTATGTAAAATGAGGCTTCAACTGCATGTCCTCCATGTGGCCACCAATGGAAATACACCATGACATAAACTGATAAAGTGGGGAGATTGTTTTCTGTGTTCTATCCATCTCTATGAGAAATGTGTCATTACCCAGCCTGCAATTGCATCCTTCCCACTGATAGCCTTTCTGTATATCTAGTCAGACCTTGGTAAAAAATTAAATTATGATAAGACAATAAAACACTACGTGTTATGTCCTCAAGTCTGAAGATACAGTGGTATGGAGAAATATATATATGATTTGCTTGTCAGCACACCTTTGCTTATCAGAAAGAAGTTTCAGACAGCTGTATGAAAATGACTCATAAACTCTGACCATCCTCAAAGGGAAAAAAATCACTTTATCAAAATGACAACCAACCAGGTCATGTGCTCTTTTGCTCTATGATTTCCATGTCGTGGCCCTCAGTTTCCTAATCAAAATCTCTGGCTTTTTGCCCTCTGTTCTGCAAACTCTGATTCTATTTATAACTACAGATCATCCACTCTGAGACATGGAGCTGATACAGATACAAAAGAATCATTAGATGAATCAGTGATTGACAAGTTCTATAAATATATGGAGCATGGGATAGAATATGAAAGACAACAAAAGCAAAATCTTATTCTTATAATTTTTAATTTAGGTAGCAGAATTTGGGAGTGAACAGTTCAGCTTCGTGGTCTGAATCCATTCTCTTCTCACTAGCTCTGACCTTGGACAACTTAACTTCTCAATTCCTTCAGTTTTCTAATCTCTAGAATTGGATAACTAGGGTGTGTAAGCATTCAAAGTTTTTGAGAATTAAATACAGTAAAATATTTTAATTGCTTAGAATAGTTTATAGAATTAAAAAGCCATCAGTAAATACTACCTATTATAATCATTTGATCCTTTCACACATTCTGTGAAATTGGCACATTCAGCAGTAGGCTCAATTCATATGTGAAAAAAATATGCCCCAAATGGTCAAATGAAAGAAGGCTACCTCTAGCATGTCAGGGTGAGGAGGCTGGCAAATCCTCTCCCCAAAAGCAATTACACACTTGGATAGAACTGCCAAAAATGACTCTATATGCTCTGGGAGGCAGCCCAAAGTGTACAGCAAGCTGAGATGAGGTTTTTTGGTTTTTCTTTTCATTAGAAAGTACTAAATTTCAGACAAGAATAGTCAGAGTTTATAGCATTCTTGCCTGGAGCAATCCCTTTCACCCAGTCTCTCAGCTAAGTTGGCATGGTGATTCTATCACAGAGGACAATCTAAGAAAATCAGCAGTTCTGAGGCTGGAAAAGGGATTAATTAATTTCTAGTGGAAGACAGTAAACCCATATCCAGCAGAGGAAGGGAAAGGCCTAAATATAGCCTAGACGAAGATTGTAGTCCCATTTGAAGTGAGCAACAGACTAACCAGGGATTTAGCAGGAGGATCTGGGAGGCAAGATGGTCAGAGACAGGCTTGACATACTCTAAGTATGTTTGGCTGAACACAGAGCCTGCACACATTTGCTTCAAAGGTTGGAGATGGTTCAATATATCCACATATTACTGGCTTGCAGGAGACTGGACACACATCCAAAAGATATACGAGAGGTTCCAGCAAAAAGTAAATCAGGGCAGATTGAAAACTGCCTAGCTTTGAGTTTACCATCCAGACTACACACAGACACATGAACCAATCCTGTACTGCACAATACTGTGAGCAAGTGCCTCTTTAAGTTTTCCTCCCAAGCCTCCTTGTTTGCCTCACCTTAGTCCTGCCCCTGCAATGCAGACATACAGCTACTTCTAGGCTGCCATGCTTAAAATAATAATAACAATCATAATAAATTGAACATCAGCTAACATGCACCGTAAGAAAGACAGATATAATTAATTTAGTCTGGACATGATACTTACAAAAAAATTCAGGGGGGAAAATAAAAATCAGAAACCAGAGTTGTTGCTATATTAGCTAGAATGTCTCCTTCAGAGACTTCCAATAGTATTTCTTGAAAGGCAAGTTTGCTAGCAATAAATTCTATTAGTCTTGGTTTATCTACAAATACCTTTTCTCCCCATCATTTATGAAGGATACTTTTGCTGTATAAAGAATTCTTGTCCAATTTTTTCTTTTATTTCAGTCATTCATCCCATTGCTTTGTGGCTTCCATTGTATCAGATTAGAAGTCTGCCATTCATCATATTCTTGTTCCATTGTACTGAGGAATTATTTTTCTCTTTATGCCTAACTCAAAGTCATGACAATTTTATGCTATGTTAGCTAAAAACAATTTATAGTTTTATTAAGGTTTTGGATTTACATGTATGTTTGTCTAAGTTTTTTATGTATTGCTATAATAGAATACCACAGACTGGGTAACTTATAAATAAATTACATTTTTTTCTTACCATTCTGCAGGCTAAGACATCCAAGGTCAAAGGGCCTACATCTGGTGAAGGTCTTGCTGCTTTATCCCATGGTGGAAGGCAGATGGGTAAGAGAGCACAATAGAACAAGCCAGCAAGAGGGGGTCAAACCTGCTTTTATAAAAAGGCCACTCTCTTAACAACTAACACAGTCCCATGATTCTGACACTAATTCATTCACAAGGGCAGAGTCCTCATAACCTAATAACCACTTATTAGGCCCTACTTCACAGCACTTCCGTATTGGGTATTAAGTTTCTAATACATGAACTTTGGGGACACATTTAAATCCTGGCAATGTCCATTTTGAGTTGCCTTTTGTATATGGTGTTGATTTACAGACAGAATATTGTTTTTACTTTCTTTTTATTTCTTTTTCCTCTAAGTATATCCAATTGTGTCTACTCTATTTGTCAAAATAGCTATCTTTTCTCCATCAAATTACCTTTGTATTTGTACAAAAAAATCAGTCGTCCATATAGTTCTGGGACTATTTCTGGACTCTATAGTGTATTTGAGCAAAATGTACATTCTGACATCATTGAGTGTTGTGTTCTAGAAATATGAAAAAATGTCAGTTACTAAAATTTGTTTGATAATGTTGTTCTGGTCTTCTATATATTTCTATATCTTCCTTTCTTTACAGTCCTAGAAGATATCATCCTGTATGTTCCTTCTTGCTTTGTTTCTTCAGTGTTGTTTTTGGACTTTGTTTACCTCTGGATGCTTTTAATATTTCTAGTTTACATGTTTCATTAATTTTTAAGAGAACTACTTGATACTTACAACATACCTGTAGATTTGTCTTAGTGTTTCAGAGACTATAAGCATAGAGGTTAGAAATAGCAAATAAATAAAAAACTGGCAGTGTAATTGACAGGTACTTATGGAAGCTTTTCTTTTCCCAAATGACACTAGTATGAAAACAAAAATTTATGCTTTGCCTTTCTTTGCTGGCATTGTTTTTTCTTGTCTAATCTGTCAATGAAAACATAGTTATTCAAGGATCATTTTATCTTGTAGGAATCCCCCCACCTATCACTGCCCAAAACCTTATCTGTTGAGTTTTATGCAGCTGCAGGTATCAAACAACCCAGTTTCTTAAGCGGTAAATGCCCTCAGAGCAGCTGAGGCTTCAGTCATTATGTAAGTTTAGTGGGGAGAGAGCTAGGTATACGGATATAGGTTTTAATATACATAGGCATAAATATACATATAAATGTGCACATACACACATATACACATATAATTACTATATTGGACTGAAGAGAATATCCTACCGTGTGTTATATGTATCATTATGTATAATTGGCTTAACTCAAACTGAAAAAATACTCATGAATAAAATTATCTATTTCAGTAGTTACTTATCTGATTTAAAGTTAGCTTAGGGCAAATATAACTTCCCTACTGAATTTTTTTGAAATGAAATTCTGGAAAATATGAAGTAAATAGATCATAGGCACTATAATAGTCAACTAAATCATTTACAATTTTTTTCAAAAAAAGTTTTTTTCAGAAATTGATGTTGACCAAATCCTCTTCTTTTCTCCTAGGAATACTCCTTAGTTCAGTTTTTTCTCCATAACTCCAAAACTTAACTTCCGGAGATTTTCTAAATACAAAATTTCCTTCATATTATGTTTGTTTTTCTTTTACTTTTATAATTCATAATAGCTTTTTTGTTCCTAGCACGTGAAATTTTTAGTCTTTTTATGATGGCCAATTTATGAGAAACACGTTCACTTCCTCATTAATTTGATCTATCGCTATATCCAATGATTGTTCTCTCTCTGGAAAGAAACTGGTCATGCAAATTTCCATGTAGAGTGGTATTAAAGAAATCAGGAGCTACAAAACAAAAAAAAAGAACCCTCATGGAATTAGAATTATAATAATCTACTAAAACTATATGAAATAGCTGGTTATTGAAATATAAGATAAAACCCTTCACATATTAGAAGAAAAAAAAGTATGTTTTATACTAAACCATCTCCTTGCTGTGGGCTGCTTTTACTATAGGATGAGACATTTTGTTATCATGCTGTTTTGGAGCTTATAGAGTGGAAGATTAGTACAGGATTCCAAAGATACTTGCCAAATTTCTATTTTGTTCAAAGACACCAATATAACATATCATAAAGTCTGAAAAAATCATAATATTGTTAAATAGATCCTGTTAATGAGTACGTGGGTCGAATGAGTTATCAACTACAAATTATTGGAAAGTAACTAATCGCCAGAGAGTGAATTTGGTGGTCCACTTTTCAGGTTTTGCAGTTTTAATACTCCCAACATACTTAACATGTGAGTACTATTGTGAAGTCTATTAAATGTAATAATCAGTGCTTTCAGAAATAAAGTTAGTAATTGCAGGTTCCACAATTTATCAGTGCTAGAAGTAGGATTCGTTTGACACTAAAACCACCACATGAGGCCTAAAGTTTTGGCTAAATTTTTCCACCCAGGTGACATTGGCAAATATATTTTAAAATTTAAGACCTACTGATCTACCATGACAAATGATTTAGCTAGCATCTATATAAGTCTGTATCACCTTTAAACACATCATGCTGGATTTTAGTAACAATCAACTAATCCACATCCTAACTGTATGCAAAGATTGAAACTATATATAGAATCAAGCAACTTTTATGTTGTAAATGATCTAAGAAATCTTATGTTTTCAAATCTTGAGAACTTTACATTTCACTTCCCTGCAGCAAATAATATGACCAAAATCCCTTTAATCAAAGTGGATTCATCATTACAAAATAAAACATGATTTTAATAAAAACATAAATCACATCTTTAAACACAAAATCTTTTTTTCAGCTGAAATAGATGATTTTAGAAAGGACAAAGGATACTTCTTATGACAACAATTTAAAAAATGGTCAAGAAATGCAGCCTCCAAAAGAAACTTTCATCAGAGCAAACAGACAACCTACAGAATGGGAAAAATTTTTGCAATCTATCAATCTGACAAAGGTCTAATATCCAGCATCTTTGAGGAACTTAAACAAATTTACAGAAAAAGAATCCCATTAAAAAGTGGGCAAAGGACATGAATAGACACTTCTCAAAAGAAGACATACATGTGGCCAAGAAACTTACGGAAGAAAACTCAAAATCACTGATTATTAGAGAAATGCAAATAAAAACCATAATGAGATACAATCTCATACCAGTCAGACTAGCTATTATTAAAAAGTCAAAAATAGCAGATGCTGGCGAGGTTGTGGAGGAAAAGGAATGCTTTTACACTGTTGGAGGGAATATAAATTAGTTCAACCATTGTGGAAGACAGTGTGGTGATTCCTCCAAGACCTAGAGGCAGAAATACCATTTGACCTAGCAATCCCATTACTGGGTGTATACCCAAAGTAATATAAATCATTCTGTTATAAAGATACATGCATGTGTGTGTCCAATGCAGCACTATTCATAAGAGCAAAGACATGGAATCAACCTAAATGCCCATCAATGATAGACTGGATAAAGAAAATGTGGGACACATACACTATAGGATACTATGCAGCCATAAAATGGAATGAGATCATATCCTTTGTAAGGACATGGATGTAGCTGGATGCCATTACCCTCAGCAAACTAATACAGGAACAGAAAGCCAAATACCACATGTTCTAACTTATAAGTGGGAGCTGAATGATGAGAACATATGGACACATGGGAACAACAAACACTGGTGTCTGTTGGAGGGTGGGGGTGGGAGGAGGGAGGATATCAGGAAAAATAGCTAATGGATGCTAGGTGATTGGGTGATCTGTGCAGCAAACCACCGTGGCACATGTACCCCTTGACTTAAAGTTGGAAATCAAAAAAATAAAAGAATAAAAAAGAAATGCATCTTTCAAGGCCTTCAGGTACATGTCTCCAAGGTATATAGGGCATACCAGTTTCAATAAACCAAACAGCTTTCTATGGATTATTTTGTTCATTCCTCCAATTTTAAACTTCCATTTTAGTGCTTGCAGCAGTTTATTATCAGTATTATCAGTGCTGATGCCTACTTTTACAATTTTGCTGTTTCTTAGGGGTGCATTTTATAGAGCTGTGCTAACTCTCTGCCTTTGCAATATATTGCCTATACCAAAATTCTTAAACAATCTCTTTCATATCTTTAGCTCCCTTGTTTGCACTTATCATTGAGTTACTGATAAATTTTATCAAGGTAAATGGAATTTTTATATTTAATTTTCTTCTGAGGTACTGTTTTCTGGTTAACATTTTCTTGCTCTCTGATAAAGTGTCTCTTTAATCTTCTGAATGCTGCAATTGTAGAACTGTCTCCTAAAAACATTATGAAATTAGCAAACAAAAACTTTTCCTGTATTCAATTTAAATGCCTTCCCCATAAACTATTTTTCAGCACTTATTAACCCATGGCTACATATAAAAAAAAAGTGCTGAGATTCTACTTTAAAACTGAGTATACGGAATACTAAAAAGATTTACAGAACAATCATATATACTTGAATAATATATAATAAACTCATTTCTGATGTGTAACCCTATCATATGTTTTCTCATTTATTTCAATAACATCTTGCATCTGTATATGGTCTTTGGCTAATGACAGAATGGGTTTATTTAAGTCTGTTTTTATGTGTGTGTATATAGATATATGTAAATACACAAAAAATTATTAAACAAGTATAGGAAGTCGCTCTGACTTTCTTTTTTTTTTTTTTGAGAAGGAGTTTCGCTCTTGTTGCCCAGGCTGGAGTGCAATGGTGTGATCTCGGCTCATGGCAACTTCCGCCTCCCGGGCTCAAGCGATTCTCCTGCTTCAGCCTCCTGAGTAGCTGGGATTACAAGCATGCACCACCACGCCTGGTTAATTTTGTATTTTTAGTAGAGACGGGGTTTCTCCATGTTGGTCGGGCTGGTCTCAAATTCCTGACTTCAGGTGATCCGCTTGTCTTGGCC
The DNA here is from genome assembly GCF_000001405.40 of Homo sapiens. Classification (NCBI taxonomy): domain Eukaryota; kingdom Metazoa; phylum Chordata; class Mammalia; order Primates; family Hominidae; genus Homo; species Homo sapiens. The sequence goes on along the minus strand of NC_000005.10, from coordinate 162,586,724 downwards.
TCCCAAAGTTCTGGGATTAAAGGCATGAGCCATCGCGCCCGGCCGAGCTGACCCTTTTGTCTGGCTTCAAATACCATTCTGACCAGCACTGCAAATTTGTGCAGAGAAAACTAACTTAAAGTCATAATTGAAGTCTTGTAATGTGTTTTATCATTTAAAAATATGCACACATATTGACTTTACATTTTGCCTTAATTAAATCTAGTAATTGACAATTTTCAAAGAGTATAAAAATGAGAAAATTCTGGAATTACCATCAAACTTTAAAATGGATAAAAATTCTTTCTCTATTTTCTGGATTGTCTTGAATTATCTTCATGGATCTACTATTTTAAAAAACTTCTTTTTATCTCTATTCCTTGCTTTCAAACTTTCCTTGTAACTGCTCAGAGACTGCAGTCCAACTAAAAACAGTCATAATTCTATATTGTTAACTTTGTAGTGAAAAATAAAGCAGAGAAAACTAAAAACAATAGATCATATGAAAATCTCTATTTTTGTGGCAAATTCAAATGTATTTTAATGGTCTTGTTTTGATCACTTTATATATTACTGGAGGAGATATCAGTGAATCAAACAAAATCTATATCCCAAGTGTCATAGACTGTAGCAGAAAATAGTTAGTCTTGTGAAAAAATGAATAAGAATGCATGATTCTTAAACATCTAATTAATATGTTTATGCATTCAACAAATATTTAATATACACATGCACAAAGGCACTATGCAAAATAACTCACATTTTGGTCTTTAAGAGATTACCACATTTACTATATACAAGTCACATAAGAAAGATGTGAAAATTGACTTGTCACTTTAATTTTGAAATACCTGAAATAGACCTTTGCCTTCCAGGAATGGAAGAGTAAATTTTCTGGCTTCTAGAAATGGAGAAGTAACTAGGCCAAACTTATTGCAAGAAAAAAATTATACAATCTCAACAAAATATAAGAAGTAGCTATTTGAAGGTATTGAAAAGTGACCAAAAGTTGGGAGAAATTAGAGGAACATACATCTGAAAAGATAAACTGTCATATTTCGATTCTGCTAGAGAAGCAGAGAGATGCTGTTTATTAGTTTGAGGTTGGAAAGTATTGAATTTGAAAGAATAGCCAGCAAGTAAGAATGAGAGAGTGGAGGTATTCAGGAGGAAGAGCCATAAAAGACGAAAAGTCTACATTTAAAATCCACCCAAAGCATTGAATGAATACTAACCTATGTATGCAAAGGTGACACCCTAAAGAGTATAGTGAAAAAGTAGCAGCCAGAAGCTGAACGAACTTTGCAGAGATTTCACTGACTTCCCACTTCAGAGCAGATAAAAATGGAATTTGAGTCCAACCAAGTCAACTGTCTGTAAAAACAAATCTACAGAGGATGTATCAAAATGCAGATTTTATAAAACTTAGTATTTGTAAAATCCAACATACAATTAGAAACTACTGAACATATGATGAAACAGAAATATATGACCCATACTCAAGAAAATAAACATTCAAAGAAAACAACCCTGAGATAATTACACATTATAATGAAAACAAAAGGACTTTAAAAAACCCTACTATAAACATATTTAAGTATTTAAAAGAAAATACATGCATAATAAGTAGAGACAGACTATCAACACAAATATAGAAACAAAACAAAATGAAATAAAAATTCTAGAGCTGAAAAGCACAATAACTGATATAAAACTAATTGGAAAGGGTTAAGAAAATAATATCAATGGCAGAAATAAAATAACCAATGATCTTGTGGATAGAAAGAAATCATATAATCTTATGAACTAAAGAAAAAAATAGAAAAAAAAAGAAGTGTCTTAGAAGCCTGTATGACAATATTGAGTGAAATCTATTATAGGTGTGATTGGAATTCTGGAAGGACCAGAGACAGATCATGGACATTAAGGAAGAAAAACATGAAGAAATAATGGTTGAAAATGTTACAGATTTGGTAACAGACATTCATTTATAGATTCAAGAAGCTCAATACAATAGTCTAGAAGTATAAATGCAATAACAAGTATATACCTGGACATGTGATATTAAAATATTGATATCCAAAGATAAAGAGAAAATCCTGAAAGTCACCAAAGAATATTGAGATATTACAAATAGGAGAAGAGTTATTCAAATTAGGAATGACTTATCAGAAACATTAATAGACAAATGAGAGTGGAACATCTTTAAAATGCTGAAAGAAAATAACTGTAAAAGGAAAATTATTTATCGAGAGAAATACCTTTTAAAAGGAAAAGTAAAATAAAGATATTTCTGATAAAAATTGGAATACTTCATTGTCAGAAGATGTGGCCTAAAGGAAATTCTTCAAGCTGGAAGAAAGTTACACCAAATGATAATTTAAATCAATGGGATGAAAGTGGTAATTATCTCAATTTTATAGTTGAGAAAATTGAGGCATAGATAAAGTTTTGTCCCTGAGTACAGAAACCAGGAAACTCAAAACACAGAAATAGGAAATTTATTTTTCATGTTGTTAACCTTTGTAGTTGATGTTTTTTTTTTTAATTTTTTTTTAATTTTTATTATTATACTTTAAGTTTTAGGGTACATGTCCACAATGTGCCGGTTAGTTACATATGTATACATGTGCCATGCTGGTGTGCTGCACCCATTAACTCATCATTTAGCATTAGGTATATCTCCTAATGCTATCCGTCCCCCCTCCCCCCACCCCACAACAGTCCGCAGAGTGTGATGTTCCCCTTCCTGTGTCCACGTGTTCTCATTGTTCAATTCCCATCTATGAGTGAGAACATGCGGTGCTTGGTTTTTTGTTCTTGCGATAGTTTACTGAGAATGATGATTTCCAATTTCATCCATGTCCCTACAAAGGACATGAACTCATCATTTTTTATGGCTGCATAGTATTCCATGGTGTATATGTGCCACATTTTCTTAATCCAGTCTATCATTGTTGGACATTTGGATTGGTTCCAAGTCTTTGCTATTGCAAATAGTGCCACAATAAAAATACGTTTGCATGTGTCTTTATAGCAGCATGATTTATAGTCCTTTGGGTATATACCCAGTAATGGGATTGCTGGGTCAAATGGTATTTCTAGTTCTAGATCTCTGAGTAATCGCCACACTGACTTCCACAATGGTTGAACTAGTTTACAGTCCCACCAACAGTGTAAAAGTGTTCCTATTTCTCCACATCCTCTCCAGCACCTGTTGTTTTCTGACTTTTTAATGATTGCCATTCTAACTGGTGTGAGATGGTATCTCATTGTGGTTTTGAATTGCATTTCTCTGATGGCCAGTGATGATGAACATTTTTTCATGTATCTTTTGGCTGCATAAATGTCTTCTTTTGAGAAGTGTCTGTTCATATCCTTCACCCACTTTTTGATGGGGTTGTTTTTTTCTTGTAAATTTGTTTGAGTTCATTGTAGATTCTGGATACTAGCCCTTTGTCAGACGAGTAGGTTGCGAAAATTTTCTCCCATTTTTTAGGTTGCCTGTTCACTCTGATGGTAGTTTCTTTTGCTGTGCAGAAGCTCTTTAGTTTAATTAGATCCCATTTGTCAATTTTGGCTTTTGTTGCCATTGCTTTTCGTGTTTTAGACATGAAGTCCTTGCCCATGCCTATGTCCTGAATGGTAATGCCTAGGTTTTCTTCTAGGGTTTTTATGGTTTTAGGTCTAATGTTTAAGCCTTTAATCCATCTTGAATTAATTTTTGTATAAGGTGTAAGGAAGGGATCCAATTTCTGCTTTCTACATATGGCTAGCCAGTTTTCCCAGCACCATTTATTAAATAGGGAATCCTTTCCCCATTGCTTGTTTTTGTCAGGTTTGTCAAAGATCAGATAGTTGTAGAAATGCGGCGTTATTTCTGAGGGCTCTGTTCTGTTCCATTGATCTATATCTCTGTTTTGGTACCAGTACCATGCTGTTTTGGTTACTGTAGCCTTGTAGTATAGTTTGAAGTCAGGTAGCATGATGCCTCCAGCTTTGTTCTTTTGGCTTAGGATTGAATTGGCGATGCGGGCTCCTTTTTGTTTCCATATGAACTTTAAAGTAGTTTTTTCCAGTTCTGTGAAGAAAGTCATTGGTAGCTTGATGGGGATGGCATTGAATCTATAAATTACCTTGGGCAGTATGGCCATTTTCATGATATTGATTCTTCCTACCCATGAGCATGGAATGTTCTTCCATTTGTTTGTATCCTCTTTTATTTTATTGAGCAGTGGTTTGTAGTTCTCCTTGAAGAGGTCCTTCACGTCCCTTGTAAGTTGGATTCCTAGGTATTTTATGCTCTTTGAAGCAATTGTGAATGGTAGTTAACTCATGATTTTGCTCTCTGTTTGTCTGTTATTGGTGTATAAGAATGCTTGTGATTTTTGTACATTGATTTTGTATCCTGAGACTTTGCTGAAGTTGCTTATCAGCTTCAGGAGATTTTGGGCTGAGACAATGGGGTTTTCTAGATATACAATCATGTCATCTGCAAACAGGGACAATTTGACTTCCTCTTTTCCTAATTGAATACCCTTTATTTCCTTCTCCTGCCTGATTGCCCTGGCCAGAACTTCCAACACTATGTTGAATAGGAGTGGTGAGAAAGGGCATCCCTGTCTTGTGCCAGTTTTCAAAGGGAATGCTTCCAGTTTTTGCCCATTCAGTATGATATTGGCTGTGGGTCTGTCGTAGATAGCTCTTATTATTTTGAGATACGTCCCATCAATACCTAATTTATTGAGAGTTTTTAGCATGAAGAGTTGTTGAATTTTGTCAAAGGCCTTTTCTGCATCTATTGAGATAATCATGTGGTTTTTGTTTTTGGTTCTGTTTATATGCTGGATTACATTTATTGATTTGTATGTATTGAACCAGCCTTGCATCCCAGGGATGAAGCCCACTTGATCATGGTGGATAAGCTTTTTGATGTGTTGCTGGATTCGGTTTGCCAGTATTTTATTGAGGATTTTTGCATCAATGTTCATCAAAGATATTGGTCTAAAATTCTCTTTTTTGGTTGTGTCTCTGCCCAGCTTTGGTATCAGGATGATGCTGGCCTCATAAAATGAGTTAGAGAGGATTCCCTCTTTTTCTATTGATTGGAATAGTTTCAGAAGGAATGGTACCAGTTCCTCCTTGTACCCTGGTAGAATTTGGCTGTGAATCCGTCTGGTCCTGGACTCTTTTTGGTTGGTAAGCTATTGATTATTGCCACAATTTCAGAGCCTGTTATTGGTCTATTCAGAGATTCAACTTCTTCCTGGTTTAGTCTTGGGAGGGTGTATGTGTCAAGGAATTTATCCATTTCTTCTAGATTTTCTAGTTTATTTGCGTAGAGGTGTTTGTAGTATTCTCTGATGGTAGTTTATATTTCTGTAGGATCGGTGGTGATATCCCCTTTATCATTTTTTATTGAGTCTATTTGATTCTTCTCTCTTTTCTTCTTTATTAGTCTTGCTAGCGGTCTATGAATTTTGTTGATCCTTTCAAAAAACCAGCTCCTGGATTCATTAATTTTTTGAAGGGTTTTTTGTGTCTCTATTTCCTTCAGTTCTGCTCTGATTTTAGTTATTTCTTGCCTTCTGCTAGCTTTTGAATGTGTTTGCTCTTGCTTTTCTAGTTCTTTTAATTGTGATGTTGGGGTGTCAATTTTAGATCTTTCCTGCTTTCTCTTGTGGGCATTTAGTGCTATAAATTTCCCTCTACACACTGCTTTGAATGTGACCCAGAGATTCTGGTATGTTGTGTCTTTGTTCTCGTTGTTTTCAAAGAACATCTTTATTTCTGCCTTCATTTCGTTATGTACCCAGTAGTCATTCAGGAGCAGGTTGTTCAGTTTCCATGTAGTTGAGCGGTTTTGAGTGAGTTTCTTAATCCTGAGTTCTAGTTTGATTACACTGTGGTCTGAGAGGCAGTTTGTTATAATTGCTGTTGTTTTACATTTGCTGAGGAGTGCTTTACTTCCAACTATGTGGTCAATTTTGGAATAGGTGTGGTGTGGTGCTGAAAAAAATGAATATTCTGTTGACTTGGGGTGGAGCGTTCTGTAGATGTCTATTACATCCGCTTGTTGCAGAGCTGAGTTAATTCCTGGGAATCCTTGTTAACTTTCTGTCTCATTGATCTGTCTAATGTTGACAGTGGGGTGTTAAAGTCTCCCATTATTATTGTGTGGGAGTCTAAGTCTCCTTGTAGGTCACTCAGGACTTGCTTTATGAATCTGGATGCTCCTGTATTGGGCGCATATATATTTAGGATAGTTAGCTCTTCTTGTTGAATTGATCCCTTTGCCATTATGTAATGGCCTTCTTGGTCTCTTTTGATCTTTGTTGGTTTAAAATCTGTTTTATCAGAGACTAGGATTGCAACCCCTGCCTTTTTTTGTTTTCCATTTGCTTGGTAGATCTTCCTCCATCCTTTTATTTTGGGCCTATGTGTGTCTCTGCATGTGAGATGGGTTTCCTGAATACAGCACACTGATGGGTCTTGACTCTTTATCCAATTTGCCAGGCTGTGTCTTTTAATTGGAGCAATTAGTCCATTTACATTTAAAGTTAATATTGTTATGTGTGAATTTGATCCTGTCATTATGATGGTAGCTGGTGATTTTGCTCATTAGTTGATGCAGTTTCTTCCTAATCTCCATGGTCTTTACATTTTGGCATGATTTTGCAGCAGCTGGTACTGGTTGTGCCTTTTCATGTTTAGTGCTTCCTTCAGGAGCTCTTTTAGGGCAGGCCTGGTGGTGACAAAATCTCTCAGCGTTTGCTTGTCTGTAAAGTATTTTATTTCTCCTTCCCTTATGAAGCTTAGTTTGGCTGGATATGAAATTCTGGGTTGAAAATTCTTTTCTTTAAGAATGTTGAATATTGGCCCCCACTCTCTTCTGGCTTGTAGAGTTTCTGCTGAGAGATCCGCTGTTAGTCTGATGGGCTTCCCTTTGTGGGTAACCCAACCTTTCTCTCTGGCTGCCCTTAACATTTTTTCCTTCATTTCAACTTTGGTGAATCTGACAATTATGTGTCTTGGAGTTGCTCTTCTCGAGGAGTATCTTTGTGGCGTTCTCTGTATTTCCTGAATCTGAACGTTGGCCTGCCTTGCTAGATTGGGGAAGTTCTCCTGGATAATATCCTGCAGAGTGTTTTCCAACTTGGTTCCATTCTCCCCATCACTTTCAGGTACACCAATGAGACACAGATTTGGTCTTTTCACATAGTCCCATATTTCTTGGAGGCTTTGTTCATTTCTTTTTATTCTTTTTTCTCTAAACTTCCCTTCTCGCTTCATTTCATTCATTTCATCTTCCATCATTGATACCTTTTCTTCCAGTTGATCGCATCGGCTCCTGAGCCTTCTGCATTCTTCACGTAGTTCTCGAGCCTTGGCTTTCAGCTCCATCAGCTCCTTTAAGCACTTCTCTGTATTGGTTATTCTAGTTATACATTCGTCTAAATTTTTTTCAAAGTTTTCAACTTCTTTGCCTTTGGTTTGAATTTCCTCCTGTAGCTCGTAGTAGTTTGATCGTCTGAAGCCTTCTTCTCTCAACTCGTCAAAGTCATTCTCCATCTAGCTTTGTTCCATTGCTGGTGAGGAACTGTGTTCCTTTGGAGGAGGAGAGGCACTCTGCTTTTTAGAGTTTCCAGTTTTTCTGCTCTGCTTTTTCCCCATCTTTGTGGTTTTATCTACTTTTGGTCTTTGATGATGGTGATGTACAGATGGGTTTTTTGCTGTGGATGTCCTTTCTGTTTGTTAGTTTTCCTTCTAACAGACAGGACCCTCAGCTGCAGGTCTGTTGGAGTTTGCTAGAGGTCCACTCCAGACCCTGTTTGCCTGAGTATCAGCAGCGGTGTCTGCAGAACTGCGCGGATTTTTGTGATCCGCGAATGCTGCTGTCTGATTGTTCCTCTGGAAGTTTTGTCTCAGAGGAGTACCCGGCCATGTGAGGTGTCAGTCTGCCCCTACTGGGGGATGCCTCCCAGTTAGCCTGCTCGGGGGTCAGGGGTCAGGGACCCACTTGAGGAGGCAGTCTGCCCGTTCTCAGATCTCCAGCTGCGTGCTGGGAGAACCACTGCTCTCCTCAAAGCTGTCAGACAGGGACATTTAAGTCTGCAGAGGTTACTGCTGTCTTTTTGTTTGTCTGTGCCCTGCCCCCAGAAGTGGAGCCTACAGAGGCAGGCAGGCCTCCTTGAGCTGTGGTAGCCTCCACCCAGTTGGAGCTTCAGGGCTGCTTTGTTTACCTAAGCAAGCCTGGGCAATGGCGGGCGTCCATCCCCCAGCCTCACTGCCGCCTTGCAGTTTGATCTCAGACTGCTGTACTAGCAATCAGCGAGACTCCGTGGGCGTAGGACCCTCCAAGCCACGTGCAGGATATAATCTCCTGGTGCGCCCTTTCCTAAGCCCATCGGAAAAGCGCAGTATTTGGGTGGGAGTGGCCCGATTTTCCAGGTGCCCTCTGTCACCCCTTTCCTTGACCAGGAAAAGGAACTCCCTCACCCCTTGCACTTCCCGAGTGAGGCAATGCCTCACCCTGCTTCAGCTCGCGCACGGTGCGCTGCACCCACTGTCGTGCACCCACTGTCTGGCACTCCTTAGTGAGATGAACCTGGTACCTCAGATGGAAATGCAGCAATCACCCGTCTTCTGCCTCACTCACGCTGGGAGCTGTAGACCAGAGCTGTTCCTATTCGGCCATCTTGGCTCCTCTCTGTAGTTGATGTTTTAACTTACAGATAGACAGATAGGTAGATAGATAGATCGACCGACAGAGATAGAGATATCTTTTACCTATATATCTATAAAAGATGTTCATATATATATCTTTTATATATATAAAAATATCTCTCTGTATATTGCTCTATCCTTTAAAAGTCACAAAGACAAACATAAATTATAAATGGAATTACACAAATACCATTTCTTAGCTATACACCTTTCTCAAAGCACAAGCTCCAAATTTTTATTGTTTTACATTTAATTTGACAATGATGTCTCAATTTGTTTGACTATGGAGTTAAATATAGTATCAACTCCTTTCTGAAGGGAAAATAACAAAAAAATTGGTGAACTCTGTCAGTACTCAAATATAACCAAAGAAATAGTAATTCTTAAGAGATTTTGGTCAATGTATTCAGAGATTAGCTACGCAAAAACATGTACACACATGCATACATAAACGTAGAAACATTCAAACTTATACACTTTTTACTAACAAAACCCACAAATTCTAAATCCTGCATTTCTTGGTGAATGGTTCAGAAAATTAATCCTAGAATACTCTTCAGTGCCTGATTACAAAAAAAGGTTTTAAAAACTGACTCACTGAAAATATTGGCTGGGCATGGTGGCTCAGGTGTGTAATCCCAGCACTTTGGGAGGCCGAGGTGGGTGTATCACCTGAGGCCAGGAGTTTGAGACCAGCCTGGCCAGTATGGTGAAATCTCACCTCTACTAAAAATACAAAAATTAGCTGGGCATGATGGCATATGCCTGTAGCCTCAGCTACTCTGGATGAGGCAAGAGAATTGCTCAAACTGAGTAGGTGGAGGTTGCAGATAGCCCAGATTGCACCACTGCACTCCAGCCTGGGTGACACAGCGAGACTACATTTCCAAAAAAAAAAAAAAAAACAAGGGAAAATATATGGGAGTGTAGCAGTGGTAATGTAAAGAAAGTGTAGAAGGCACAGAACAGGACTTTGGAGAAAAGGATTAAATTCTCAGTAATATTGCTGATTTAGTTGTATATTCTGAAAGGTTTCATTTGGTTGTTTTATAAACTAAACAAGAGAAAACAGGTTGAAAATGTTGAGACATGATATAAAATGAGAAGTATGAGGTTTTATAAGCATCTTATCTTAACTTTTAAAAGTCATTTTTTTTCTTTTTTTGAGTCAGAGTCTTGCCCTGTCACCCAGGCTGGAGTGCAATGGGGCAATCTCAGCTCACTGCAACCTCTGCCTCCCAGGTTCAGGCAATTCTCCTGCCTCAGCCTCCCAAGTAGCTGGAATTACAGGCATGAGCCATGACACCTGGCTAATTTTTGTATTTTTAGTAGAGATGAGGTTTTGCCATAATGGCCAGGCTCGTAGTCTCCTGTCCTCAAGTGATCTACCTGCCTCAGCCTCCCAAAGTGCTGGGATTACAAGTGTGAGCCACCATGCCTGGCAAAAGTCTTTCGTTTTAACTACTCAAATCATTATTGTTTTCTTTAGCTACTATTTAAATTGGAGAACGTGACACATAATCTCTCTGTAACTGGATTAAAATTGGGGAAAAATAAAATAACAGTGTGTTCTCTGTTTTCTCCAAAGCAGACAGATATCCCAATAAACAAAGTTTGCTATTCATGCTCTCAAATGCTGAAAATTTACAATAAATATTGGATGGTGGGATAACAACTTTCACCATATCCAATATTTATCAAATGTCTTCAAAATTTTATATGCTTCATGATTTTCTGTATTCTTGTTCTATCATTTACTGAAATACAGTCGGGGGATACAGTGGGGTATTGAAATCTCTTTCTATAATTACAAACTTGTCTTTTTCTCCTTGAAATGTTATCAGTTTTTTAAAAGCTCTGTTATTAGGTACAAAATGTTCAGGATGGTGATGTCCTCTTGAAAAATTGATACCTTTCTTATAAAATGATTGTATTTGGTACCATTTTTTGCTCCAAAATATACTTTATCTGATATTATATAATCATTTCCACTTTAATTAATTTTAGTAAGATACAGCTTTTTTATTTTTTTATTTTTTATTTATTTTGAGACAGAGTCTTGCCCTGTTGCCCAGGCTGGAGTGCAATGGCTTGATCTTGGCTCACTGCAACTTTTGCCTCCTGGGTTCAAACAATTCTCCCATCTCAGCCTCCTGAGTAGCTGGGATTATAGGCATCCACCACCACGCCCAGCTAATTTTTGTATTTTTAGTAGAGTTGGGGTTTCACCATGTTGGCCAGTCTGGTCTCGAATTCCTGACCTCCAGTGATCTGCCCGCCTCAGACTCCCAAAGTGCTGGGATTACAGGCATGAGCCATCATGCCCGGATGATACAGCTTTTTATATCCTTTAACTTTTAACTAATTTGTGTCTTTACAAGAAAATGCTTCTCATAGGCAGCATATAGATGGGTCTATCTAATCTGAAAACCTCTCACCTTTAATTGGAGTACTTAGACCATTTATATTTAATGATTATTGCTATGGTTAGGCTTAAATCTCTCTTCTCATTATTTTTTTCTGTATGTCTTGTATGATCCTTGTCTCCATGTTGCTTTTTTTTTTTTTGCTTTCTTCAGAGAAAAATTTAAATTTATCCATTTTATCTCCATTGTTGATTCAGCTGCAACTCTTTCTTTTGCAAAGTTAGCAGTTGCTGAGTTTATAATATATATTGGATCCTTCACAGATAGTCTTCAAATGATACTATATTTCTTCTTGCAAAGTATAAGAATTTCACATTAAATAGTTTCATTTCTCAATTCCCACCTTTATGTTATTGTTGTCATTCATTTTACTTTTATGTAGTACAAAAACTGCAAACCATTGTTATTTAGTGTAAAATTTTGTTATTTACTTTGTAAAGGAATTTACATAACAAGAAAACCAATAATATATTTTTTCTCGTTTCTATTTCCAGTGTTCCTTACTCCTTTTGCATTTCTATATTTCCATTAGGTATCTTATTTTTCTGCCCAAAGGACTTCCTTTAATGTCTCTTGTAAGGCTGGTTTGTTAAAAAATAATTTTTTTCAGTGTTTCTAAGTCTGAAAAATTCTTGATTTCATGGTCTTTTTTGGAAACATATGTTAACTCTTTTAAAAATTCTATTTGCTAGATATATGGCTTCAGTACTTTAAACATAATGCTTTACTATCTTCTTGCTTAGATTGATTATGATAGTAAATCCTGTTATTTTTATCTTTTCTTTCCTCTATACTTAACTCACCATTTTTTTAATTAAAAAAATTCTTAAACATTAACATTTTTATCACTAATTTGAATAATTTGTTTCTGAAGTGCTTTGATACAGTTTTCTTTCTGTTTCTTCTGCTTAGGTTTCATAGAGCTTTTTGGAAAATTTGGAGACATTATTTCTTCAAATATTTTACTGCTCCTTTCTTTGAAGACTACAATTTTATATGTAATGCATCTTAATGTTGCCTCACAGCTCACTGATACACTTTTTCTTCTTTAAATTGTTTTTCTCTTTTTGTTACATTTTGTACATTATCTGTTGCTACGTATTCAAGTTCACTAATCTCTATTGTCTGGGCTGGAGTGCAGGGGTGTGATCATAGCTCACTGCAGCCTCAAACTTCTGGGCTCAAGCAATCCTCCTACCTCATCTTCCCAAGCAGCTGGAACCGCAGGTGCACATCACCACTTATGGGTATTTTTAAATTTTTTATTTATTGTAGAGAAGGTGTCTCACTATGTTGCCCAGGCTAATCTCAAACTCTGGGCCTCAAGCAATTCTCCTACCTCAGTCTCCTAAAGTCCTGAGATTACAGGCATGAGGCACTGTACCCAACTTGTTTTTAAGATGTGTTTAGTTTAGTGCTAATAACTCCCCAATACGGAGACAAGACCCTTGTGACTACTCTACCCTCTAACTCATAAAGATTTTACTAAGTGGTGGCAATAGGCACCCTATTCTTGTGTGAGGTGTTGACTACTCTTTATTTTCTAACGTACTTTTTTTTTGTAAGTTTGTTTTTACTTTTTTTCTTTGTGTCCTTCTTGCCTTTGCTTCTCTTGCCTTGTTTTTTCTCACTTCCTCTTTTCTTTTCCTTTTCTTAATACTGCTTAAACCCCTTCATTTCTTCCATTTCTTTATTTTTTTCCTTGTATTCTTGAGATAAGTGAAAGTGCCTTAATTATAGACACAGCATTTTGCTCAGCTCTATGAGAGATACTTAGAAGTATATAATATGGCCTTTGCGACATTCTATTTAGAGAAATAGAACATGACAATTATGCCTGCATTGTCAAACGTATTTTAAACATTAAAAGTACTGAAGGTATTGTTTGCAGATGGATAAATATTAAGATTAGATAAGTAAAAAGAAATGAAGTTGGCAATTTAGGTCAGTTTACCTCTCCAAGTGAAGTCCCAGACACCAGGACAGTACACAAGAAGGAAGAGTGGGGGCAGAGTGTACGTAAAGTGAGATTTGTGAATCACGCTTAAACAGTCTAAATAAACTATGCTAAAGAGATTTTTTTCTAGTTTTTCAAATAATTAGGACCCACTAAATGATTTTGTATATGAATGTTATAACCAAGATTTTTTTCCCCAAAACAAAGTCTTTGGGGGAAAGACTACTCTTGATGCTTCGCTATTCAAATTCCATAAAAGGTACACACCAATTTACATCGATAGCTGAGAAACGGTGGTGGTACATCTAGAAATTACTTAATTATTAAAAGTAGTCTCTTAAGTAGAATTCAAGCATCCTTAGTTACCCACCTATAATCCTGGACTCAAGGAATATTTCTTGTAAATATTCTCTTCTTTCTCCTAGAGACTGACTATCATGCCAAAGTCTAGTTTGGTAGCGAGTTTTGACCTTTTGTTCTGGTCATCATCTGCATACTTACTGTTAAGCAAGTACCTATTTCTTTTTAAGTGCCCTGTGTGAGAAAAGATCCCATTTTCTAACTATACCCACATGAGCAAAATCTAGATATTATGAAGCAGGGATAACAAAAGCTGCGGCTACACTTAACTCTAGCTTGGCCAAAGTAGTTAATTTCCTCAAAGCTTCAAAAAAAATTACTTTTGCAGATAAATTTTATTCGAAATGAAAATACAAATTTTATTCGAAATGAAAATACAGTTTTACAATGAATACTGTTCAGTACTTTCTTATTTTTAATTAATAATCAGATGTTACTTCTTTGTGCTGTGAGCCCAGAATGAGAAAGTTGTACCAAATATGTCAATATTGAATAACTGTTTCCCTGATCAATTGCCACTAATATGAATAAATTGTATTACTTAAAATATGTGGGAGGTATTTTGAACATCACAAGCCTGAACTAAAATCTTCCTTCTCTGAGCATACATCTTTAGTTTCTCAATTCTTTTTTCTCTTGAAATATACCTAGAATTGACTTAAAACATTAGAAATAGATACATAATTATATAAATATATTAGAAATACATGGATGCCTTAAAAATCAAATCCATTTATCATTTGCTTTATTAAAGTTTCTAAGACTTTTTTCCTGTTTTCATTTTTTTGTTTTTAAATATCAAATTTTATCTTAGATGCAAGGGTACATGCCAAGGTTTCTTACCTGGGAATGTTGTGTGATGCTGAAGTTTGGGGTATGGATCCCATCACCCAGGTAGTGAGCACAGTACTCAATAGGTAGTTTTTCAACTCACCATCCCCTTAACCCTCTAGTAGTCCTGAATGTCTATTGTTCCCATATTTATGTCCATGTGTGCTCAGTGTTTAGCTCTCACTTATAAGTGAGAACATGTAGGGTTTGATTTTCTGTTCCTGAGTTAATTCGCTTAGGTTTATGGCCTCCAGCTCCATCCATTTTGCTGCATTTTATCTTAGGCTGTCAGTACTTTATGCCATCTTACATTTCTCTGCCATTACTTTTTTAATTGAAGTTATATTAAAAATATTTGCAAATCTTGAGAAAGGTAATTTTGCTAAAATATCTTTTTAGTCTAACTTTGTAAAATGATAAGTGATGAATGATCCATCAAAAAATATTTACAGAATTGCAACCAGGGCTTTATCAATGTGCTATTTCATGTGGATATAAAATTAGCTCATCTCACTTGGTTAATCTTGGTGGAAAAACTTTAAATAAAGTTAGACATGGGTACCATGTTTTGAAGACATACCATATGGCATCACCTGTACTACTTGCTTTATGTATGTAATCTCACATATTCATCCGTAATGGCACTTATACATTTGACCTTTTCTTTATCAGTGTTTATGTATGGCAGAACAACACACATCCTTGGAGGTAAAGCTAGGTATTATATCTGAGGTGTCACATAAAATAATTTAATCTTTTAAAATTTTTCTCTAAGGAATGTATTTATGCTACTTCTCCCCTTCCCTAGTGTAAGTTTATTTTTGTTTAACCCTTCATAACGGTGTAGTTAAATTTTCACAAAACCCTATAAATTTGAGATTATAAACCTAAATTTAAAAACTAGGAGGTGGTATAACTGGTATTTAAATCTATGACACTATAATTAATCTGTACACTTCCAATGTACAAATTAACTTTTTATGAATTACTTTGAATCATTAGTTATTTTTGCATGAGTCCCACTGCTACCCCCATTCTCACATTTATGAATAGTGTTCAGGTCTCTGTCTCATAGTCTTTGTGTGCATAGTTGTATAGTACATGGCTTTATACACAATAGAATCTCATTACCTGTTTGTGGTTTCTTACCACAATGGTTCTAAGGCAGGACAAGGAGAATACATCAGAATTATATGGGAAGTTTTTTCAAACTTCACACACAGCCGTAAAAGATCCTAGTTGTCTCTTCTGTAGTAAGCCAATAGCACTCATGGGAATATGTAATATCCTTCAAGAATTTTGGGCTGTAATACAGATTGAGGAAAATGTCCTTATAAAAATGACTTGGGGCTCCAGCTGCATCATCTTTTTCAGAGCAGTACTTGTCATGCTACTCAAAGTGTCTTCTGTGGACCAATGCCAATCCACAAACTCCTAAGAGTTTGTAATAAAGGCAAACATTGAGAGAAAATGTTGAAAAGCTATAACATATCAACAGGCTTGTGTGTTCCCTTTTTTGTGTGTTTTATTTTACTATATTTTAGAATTACATTTTTAAATTCAATCCACATACAATGAACTGTAAATTAAAAGTAAACAACAAACACTCACCTTTCACCATAGACAGTTTGAGGAAAAGTGAGCAGTAGCATTTTTTTGGCATTCAGAATTCTTCTTCTTTTATTGATGTTCTTGATGCAGGGCAGGCGAGTCCCAAAAGCGGGGGTTAGCATGGGTGGGTTCCTGGCTTTGCTCAGGAAAGAATTCAAGAGTGAGCCAGCAGTGGAAGAAAGCAAGTTAGTAGAAGCAGCAGTGCACAGCTCAGTGACTGGTCCTTGTGGATCAGGGCTAAACCATAGGCAGTGCACCCAGAGTTAGCAGCATAGGGGCTCCTGGCTGGCAGTATTTATACCTACTTTTAATTACATGCAAATTAAGGGGAGGGTTATTCAGAAACATCCAGAAAAGAGGCAGGGAGTCCCAGGTGTTGCCACAGCATTTGTACACCGTCATGGCGCTGGTGGGAGTGTGTTATGCTGATGAGCAGCTAGGGCAACTAGAGGTTGCCTTTGGCATCATTCCCTAGTTCCACCTGGCTTCTTCCTTTTATCCTGTCGGGACCAGGAAATAAGTCTTGCCGGTCTCCTACCTCATTCCTATGATTGGTTAACACATAGCATATACCTTGTGTATTCTTAGAATGTTTCCCAGAACATGGAGATGCCTTACAGAATAGATTTGACTGTTAATATGTACTTAGTCACGGTGTACTTTGTTTTGTTAGTGAAATATCTGGAAAGGCATCAGGCAGAGAAAAGTGTGGAGTGAAAACTGCTGATGTGGTTTGGATCTGTGCCCCCATCCATATCTCATGTTGAATTGTAATCCCCAGTGCTGAAGGTGGAGTCTAGTGGGAGGTGATTAGATAATGGGGGCAGAATTCTTATTAATGGTTTAGTATTATCTCCCCTGGGACTGTAGAATGAGTGAGTTCTTATGTGCTCTGGTTGTTTAAAAGGTATGTAGCACCATCCCACTCGTTCTCTCCCTCCCGCTGCTGCCATGTAAGACGTGCCTGCTTCTCCTTTGCCTTCCTTCGTGATTGAAAGTTTCCTGAGGCCTCCCCAGAAGTCATCATGCTTCCTGTATAGCCTGAAGAACCATGAGTCAATTAAACTTCCATTTTTTATAAATTACCCAGTCTTAGGTATTTCCTCATAGTAATGCAAGGACGGACTAATACAACTTCCAGCAACTGTGCCCTGAAGTCTACCCTATCCAGAAGGCTTCTCTCTCTCTAATCCTGATTATCAGTAGGAGTACTACTTGGAAAGGAGGGATGAACCTGTGCCACAGTGGAATGCTAAGTTTTTTGACATCCAGGCCCACATCTTCCAACTTTCAATATTGACCACTGTTTGCAATGGAAATAAAGGCAACTAGGTTTCCTAAGAGAGTTAGGAGCGAAAAGAAGAGGCAGGAGGAGGTACATCCTAATGGTGTAACATGTTTTCTTTTCCATAGTAAAGTATAATAGTGATGTCATAGCTGTGTAATTACACACTTACATTCAAGCACTCCATTCCGTGTTTCTAAGATGTAGAGCAACTGCCCCTTCTGCTTTCTGAAAACTGAATTAAACAAGTACTTCCTTGTCTATAATATTAAAAGCCTTTTAATATAACATAAGCTAATACACAATATCAAGGAAAGATATTAGGCAAACAAGGTTAAATGACTTACAAGTTTTTCTTCCATCTATTCTGAATATAAATGGTGAACAGCCAGATGTGGAGAAAAGATACAAAGTAGAAGATAGAATGTTGCTATTAAAAGACTGTAGTACAAAAACAAAAAGCACAAACAAGAACAAAAGTCAATAGCTAGCCATCTATTTTCCTTTCTAAAAAGGTAGTAAAATACATTAAAGAAATACTTTCTTGTTGTATGTGCCTTATAGAGATTGTTTCCATTTCTCTGTCCAAGGAAACATAAGCAGTACATCTTTATAGAGGGCAGTGTATGTCCATAAAACAAATGCTGCCAAGTAGAACATTAAAAAGAGACTGTTGAAATACCTGCCAGAAAGATAATTTAGGTTAGGCTCTCTGTTTTGATAAAAGTACATGAAGCATAACGGTAACAATCTCTACTCTCTCTTAAAGCAAAGAGGAAAAAAAAGCCCCACTCTAAAACCCTTTAAAGATATCAGAATTAATTGTAAACTATGAAATATGCCCTAGTTCTTGTTCTGATTGGAATTCAGAAAAAGAAAGAGAGAATTAAAACAGGAAGAAGTGCTGTAAACTAAGTCACAATGCAGTGGCATACCGATTTGGAACCAAAGATCCATTTCCAACAGACCTCATTTAAATCACTGGGCTATTCAACAAGGGCTGCCTTAAATGGGTCACCTTACATGAACCTCAAATTATTACTTGTCAAGAAAAGCAGACAAACACCTATGTAGAAGGATTTCTGATTTTTTTTTAGCTTAGCACAGCAATTGAGAGGTAATGGACAAAAATGTAAGAAAATAAAAGATAAGGCCAATGGTCTGTGTTGCATGGCAACAGCGAGTTTAGAGATTAGCCCTTCACTTCTTTCAGTTACCAATATCACCAGAGGCAAAGCAGAAGCACAGAACTGTTTAGCATATAGATTTCAATACCACACAGACTTCTGCTGGAACCATATGTCTTACCCAAAGAATCATGCCACCAAATTAGGGAAAGCTTGCCTTTTGCTCAGAAAACAATCACACTTACAGATGTAATGACAGTTTGGGGGGCGGGTTCACATATCTATTTTGAAAACACTCATAAGAACAGTCCCATAGAAATAAGTATATGGACAAAAGTCTCGCACTCTTCTTTTTACATCATTCTGGTTATAGAAATTGAGAATATCTGGTGTATTATTTATTTATTGTTGTACAACAAATTACCCAGAAATGAGCAGATGAAAACAAACAAAATAATATTATTTCACAGAGGTTCTTAGACTCAGGAATCTGAGACCAGCTTAACTGAGTACTTGTGACTCAGCATCGATTCTGTGCTTGGAGTTAAGCTGCTGATTGAGGCTACTGTCTTATCTGGAAGTGCCACTTCCCAGCTCACTCATGTGGCCATTGGCAGGAGACTTTATTTCCTCACCATGAAGGGCTCTCCATGTGCTGCTTATGACGTAGTTTTACCAGAGAATAAGAACCAACAACAGAGAGAGGAAGAAAGAGTGAAAGAGAGAGAAGAGGGAGAGAGACCGCAGTGGTGGAGAGGGGCTGCCTGGAAAGCAGGTCTGAAAGGCTGGTTACCAGAGTCTACCCTCTGGCTCCAAAAGATCTAAGTTTCTCCCACATGCAAAATACCCTCACATCCTGCCATGTCCCCCAGTCCCTCACCAAATCTTATCCCATTACCATGTCAGAAAAACCTGCAGTATCATCCTATCTAAATCAAGTCCAGATGAGGGTGCATCTGCCACATGAAGCTTCTTATGTGTTGCTCCCTAAATAGAGTTCCTCCTGCAAGTCTGTGAAATACACACGGTATCTGCTCCTATACACCCAACAAAAAATGATGCTAACCACTACAGACTGCAGTTTCAAAAGGGAGAATATGTGAAGCACAGAGTCACAGATCCATAGCAATTTTGAAATTCATCCAGGCAAATGTAGGAAGTTCCTTGATTAGGACTCAGTCCTGTTACTTCCTGGAAATGATTCTTCAGAACATTCAACTCCACCCTCAGAGCTTTTGGTCCTTCCCGGTAGCCAATTGCTTTGCCATCTAAGTCACCCTTCCTTTGCCACGAAATGCAGCCCAGGCTTTTTCGATGAGTAGTTGCTTTAGCCTGTTGCTGGCTTGTCAATATTTAGG
Organism: Homo sapiens; assembly: GCF_000001405.40. NCBI lineage: Eukaryota > Metazoa > Chordata > Mammalia > Primates > Hominidae > Homo > Homo sapiens. The sequence goes on along the minus strand of NC_000005.10, from coordinate 162,567,063 downwards.
GTTCCAAAAGTCTCTTTTCATTTTGTACTGTTTCTGTCTCTTTTTCATCAAGCTATGTTTCTGCATCTATGATTTTTCTTAAAGATTTGATGCATCACCTTTGAATATTAATAGGATTCACTTCATTAGACAAAAGCCATACCCACAAATGTCTTCAGGATAATAACTTCTCTACCTTATCCCTTTGCTACAGAACAACATCCTTAAGTTTCTTAGTTATATTGTTTGATTGAGAGACTGTTTGAATTATACCCTTACAAGAAATTTCATAAGGATACAGAAAGTCTAAACAAAACTGTAACAAAATTGGCCCCACTGACAGTATAGAATACTCCAGCCAACAACCAAAGAATGTGCATCCCACTCAAAGGCAAATGGAAAAATCATTAAGACAAACTGGACAATAAAGACAACCCCAATAAACTTAGAAGTAAAATCATACTAATAGGGTCTTCCACATCAGGGTGTAAATGCACTTTTCACTTGTCCTCTTGCTAATTATAGCTAAAACTCATGGACATTATATACAAAGCAACAGAAGAAATCTATGTTAGGTGAAAAGAAGAAGATAGAGCAGCCAAGAACATTAGATACAAGGAACAGGTAGTAGATTTTCTTGGTTTTCTTCTGCTTCATTTATCACAGAGTCAGTGCAGGAAAAGTCACTAACCTCCAAATGTCAATGAATGAGAGTAAAAAAGCCCCAGGAAAATCCCATTCTCTCCATTCAAAGATCAGAAAAGAGCAGCCTAGCAATAGAGAAAATACGTAGACAATAATTGCCATACTTCAACCTTAGCACAGGAAAACAAAGTGTGGTCTCACTCCTCAAACTCTCAGTGAAGGTGAATGGGAGCCTAGACTTTCATTCTTACCAGGATATGAAGAAACATCCCTCCCCTTCCTGCCTGGGTGGTGTCAGAGATGACCAAGTGGGGACTGAAGACTTTCATCCCCCTGGTGGAGAGCACATGGGAAGCCTAGACTTCCACTCCCACTCAGCAGTAAAAATCTGTTCATCCTCTTCCCCATTGGATTGGGGTGAGAAAAGGCCATGTGGGAAACCTGGACTTTCATGACCTTCCAGGATACCTGACTTCCTACCTCCTTGATGTATTCAGAGGCATGAGGGGAGCAATGTGAGGCAGCCCACCCAGCCAGGGTGGCAAGAGTGGAGGACTAGTGGGAGCCTGAACTCCCATCCATCCTTGCCCAGCTGTAATGAGGTGCCATTCTTCCTCACCAGGATGTCAACAGAAACCAAGTGGGGAACAGAGACTAACTTGAGCTGAGGTTTGGTCCAGTAGCTCACATGGGTGTCCAGACTCTGTTTTTCTCTGTGTATTTATTAGCTCCACTCTGGTTGGCCCCCTTCTTTGTAGGCTTTCACTTCGTGAGAGTGAAATGACTATTATCAGTTCCCACGGCAATGCTACTATTAGTACCCATATGCAATACCGTATCTACTCTAGATATATTCTATATCGAGTCAAAAAGAGAATGTTTACTTATTTAATACTTCCAACAATATATAATCCTGCAATTGAGTCTTCTTAGGGACATATTGTCTGAATTTGATCATATGTCCATTTGTTAACAAATCACCATAGGAAAGGAGTACTCATTCCCTGTCTTCTTCAAATAATTTTTAGGATATTATTGCAAAAGGGAAGATGAATGGGCATTGGGGAAGCAAGTAACAAAATTTGCTAAAACATAAACTCAGTGTTGGGTACATATGTATAATACCTATTATTTTGCAACTTTTTTCACTTATCAACTTATTAATTTCAAATCAAATTTTATAAAATTATTTTACTCTTCTCAGAGACTATGAGGTATTTTATTGTATAGACATATTACATCCTTTTCATGAACACGTAAGTAATTTTATGTTTTGTTTTCGTTTGGAGATGGGTTTTTTTTTGTTATTATAAGCAGTGATACAATAAATATCTTTGTATGTAAATTTATTTTAAAACAATTCATGGAGTTACAATTTCAGTAAGTTTCAAAGAAACAATAAACACTTTTCTTTCTTGCTTTCAAGAACTCACTGGAGGGTAAAACAATTTCAAGTATGAAAAAATTGATAGTCACTTGATGTTATATGAACATAGCAGATGGTAAGAGTAATGTGTAATTTTAACACATTTCAGGTTTCTGTAGCATGTTAGATATTAAAACATCATATCCTTCTTCTTCCTCAACACATTCATCTTAAGCTTCTTAAATTCTCAACCACATAGTACAGTTTATAACATAAAATAGAAAAGTGAGATGCTCGGCTTCATCTCCAATTTTAGTCAGATGCACACACACATAGCCACTTCTTCACCATAAATACTTCCCGTGAGCCTGATACAGCTTAATGTTTTCTGATGCTTTTGTTCAGTGCTCCAGTTTCCTATTTTGAAATATCCCTGCTAATTTATGAGCTATCCTTAAAATGCTATGTGAGTAACAACAGCAGATGCCTCAGTATACCTATTTTGTAAAGAATATCAGGCTATCCAAGATGCTATTTACAACTATATAAATTTTATTTTCATTTCCATGAGAGAATAGTGATGAGATTTTAGTGTAAAATGTGTTTTATAATCAGAAGGGGAGCAAATGATAGATTTAACATCTTATTTTTTATAATTTTCATTTTCTGATGAAAGATGTTCATTTCTGTTGATTCTTTCTGCCGATGATTTTACTCCCCTTTCCTTTATCCTTCAGCCTATGTGATAAGTCACTCTTTTATACCAGTTAAGGTTAAATTGTTGAGGATTTTAATTTTATTTTTCCATTTTGAACCCTAGTACCAAGAATAAGTGTGTCTTCCCTGAATACAGAATTTGTTTAAAAATGACTCATGGAGGTTGCAATTGTTTAAAGGCTCAATGTATTTTTTTCACCTAGAAGCTGACCAACATAGCATAAATAATTTGAACATTTATTGTATCCTCTGGGTTTTAAGTGGAACCACATGCATGGTTTCCTTCATCACCAGGAAAACCACTGGGATAGAAAATCATAAATACCTTTGTCTCACTAATGGAGAAATTGAGCCATTTCTGCCTTTCTCTGCTCTTGTCTCTTGTACCAGTAGCTCTAGACCTATACTTTAGTCACGTTGTAGTTTTACTATATCTGTCTACTGCCAATATATATACCCTCCATGTTTGTTTGTATTGATCTCATATTTTTTATTTTGTTTGCCTACTATTTTTTTCTTGCATTTCAGAACATTTTTCCCTTTTCTTATCATATCCCTCCTTCTGGATACTGATATTTCATATAGTATCCAGTTTCTCATATAGATCTTGTAAATATTTGTTAGATTTATACCTGTTTCATTTTAGGGCTGCTAATACAAATGATATTGCATTTTTAATTTTAAATTTCATTTGTTTATTGCTAGTACTTTATTTAGGAAAGTAAATGACTTTTGTAAACGCTGTATCCTGCAACCTTCCTATTATTGTTTATTAGTTCTAAAAGGTATTTTTTGTTTGATATTTTTAGATTTTCTATATAGACGATCATGGCATTTGTACACAAAAACAGTTTTGTTTCTTCCTTCTCAATTTGTGTATCTTTTATATCCATTGCTTGTCTTATTGTACTAGCTGTCAGCTATCATTTTTAAAAAATGTTACCTCACTTAATTAATCATTAATCCTATTCTATCCTAGAACTTAGATAATATGTTAATACTTAGTAAAATGAGTTACCATATTTTCATTTTTATAATAATTGTCAGACATTTCTTCAGACCTATCTTACAGTTCACTAATATGTCCTTTAGTTGTGATAAATGTGTTAGCTAATTTACCTAATCCATTTTATGATGTTAAATTTCAACAACTTGTGTTCATTTTTTGCATATATCCTTTTTCAATTTTAATACTCTGTCCTTCTCATACATTCATCTTGATACTATTTTAATAACCTTAAACATACTAAAAAATGCGTGCTGTTTTGTTTCTCATTAAACAGTATTTGGTTCTAATTTTGCCCTTCTTTTGTCTTTTGACCTTTGATCATAATGCCTTGTTTACTTGCATATCCTACATTTTTTTTTTTTCAATTGTCAGTACATATTCTGTGGAATTGTAGCCATGGACTGTCTTCTTTTTTTTTTTTTTTTTTTCTGAGACGGAGTCTTGCCCTGTCACCCAGGCTGGAGTGCAAGGGCATGATCTCGGCTCACTGCAACCTCCACCTCCCAAGTTCAAACGATAAACGATTCTCCTGCCTCAGCCTCCCAAGTAGCTGGGATTACAGGCACCTACCACCAAGCCCAGCTATGTTTTGTATTTTTAGTAGAGATGGGTTTCACCATGTTGGCGAGGCTGGTCTCCAACTCTTGACCTCGTAATCCACTCGCCTCGGCCTCTCAAAGTGCCGGGATTACAGGAATGAGCCACCACGCCCAGCCGCCATGGACCTTCTTTGGAACATTGAAGACATGCTTCTCCATAGAATACATGCATGTACTCTTGACATGCAATTGTGTGTATTCTCGACCTAATATAGATTTTTAACAATGAGTTGTTATAAATATTGGTTCTGTCCCTTAGTAGCTGTGTGACTTTTGGTAAGATACTGAACTTCTTCATATAATAAGTTTTGCATTCAAAAATTGATAATTATATTACCTAGCTAATAAGTTGCTGTAAAGTCATATAGTATATATTAACTCTGAATTTTCCAACTTGACAGGAATAATTAGTAATTCTAAAAATTGCCTCAAGCAATGTGTCATTATTTTCAAAATCAGGAATATAAAATGTATTTCTAATATATAAATGAAACTGAAATTTCAATCAAAATAAAACAATAACACTGATAAGGTAATTCCAAAGACATTTAAAATGTGTTTGTTTCTACCTATAATACTTGTTTATCTTTCCCTTGTCTTTGCAGTACATACTGGGGGAGAAAACAAGAGAATTCATCTCCCAACTGCTCCTGGCATGTACACACTATATACATTAATGGTTATGAAGAGATGGTAGAATATTTGCTGCTTTCTGCTTTAGGTTGTTTCTGTCCAGACTAATCTTTTGGAGACTATTTGTTTTCTCTTTGGTGATTTCATCTTGTCTTCTCTTGTTCTTCCCAGGTTCACAGAAAATAGAAATTCTTTACACAGTCTTCTGATCAATAGAATCAAAGCCCTTTTTCTGTAAATACTGGCTAGAGAGTTGCTAACTTCCATAATGGAGAAATGGAAAAAGCAGTTTCTTTCTCCAATAAAACCACAAAAGCCATGGTTTTAAAAGGTAATTTTATTTAGAAAATAAGGTAAGTAAAATAAAGAAAATATGATGCAGCTATATTGGGTGGATAGAATGAAAAAAAAGGAAAGAAAGTATTTTGCTGATATTACTTCTGCCACCAACAGCAACTCATCCCCAGATACCTAACAGTGATTTTCAGATGACTGGTACATGCCATGATACATGCGGTATACTCCCTGGATGGCAACAACAGGGTCTGACTCTCGTCTTCCTTTTATCATTTTATTTCACCTGGTCTGTTCATCAAGGCACAGATTTATAATATTCACTCTTTTCCCACTTCCAAATGTCAGTTTTGCATTTAGCTGTAAAGGCTCTGTCTTTGTTTTGTGGAAAGTGCTTTAGAAAAATGTCCTGAGGCTGAACACAGTGGTTCATGCCTGTAATCCCAGCACTTTAGGAGGCTGAGGCGGGTGTATCGCCTGAAGTCAGGAGTTCAAGACCAGACTGACCAACATGGTGAAACCCTGTCTCTACTAAAAATACAAAAAAAATTAGCTGGGCATGGTGGCAATTGCCTGTAATCCCAGCTACTGGGGAGGCTGAGGCAGGAGAATTGCTTGAACCCGGGAGGTGGAGGTTGCGATGAGCCAAGATCTCACCACTGCACTCCAGCCTGGGAGACAGAAAGAGACTTCATCTAAAAGAAGAAGGAAAAGGAGAAGAAAGGAGACAGGTGTTTCAACCTAATTTTAGAAGCATCAGCGTCAAGTAATATACTTAGATTGATCTAATAAAAACCTTTTTGAAGGAGGCTCAAATTAAAATAGAAACAAAAGATTTTTTTAGGAGGTATAGATGTAGTTGTGAGCCTAAAATATTTGCTTTGAAAGTAGCAATTTACTTTCCATGGAGTGCATACATCTGTTAAGAGCTCAGTAACATTTGCTTTGAATGTACGGTCTATAAAATCAAATTAGTCTAATCAGAATATATGACAATAAAAACAGTCTCTAATGCCTTTAAATAAAGTAAATAAATGCTAGCATGCAAATATTGTTACACATTATTCAAAAGTAAATTTTGAAACTTAAAAAATCTCCAAGATTTAGAAATAAGCATGTAATATTTTTTCTTTAAGAAAAATAAGTATTTAAAATAATTATACATGAGTTTATATTTACCACTGATTGTGTAATAAAATACTAAAAGATTATATATTTCCATGCTTAAAATACTTTCTATGGATTGTTAATGATTTTCATATCATCTGTACCTTTCTGTTTTTGCAAAATATTTATAATTGTTATATATTATGGTTATAATAAACACAACTTTTATCTTAGATCAAATAGAAAAGGCAAGGGAGATGTCTATTAGAGAAAAAAATGAATAAGAGAGCAGACACACATTTTATTTATTTTTTGCTTCAGCTTTGCAGGAGATAAAGGAAATTGAGTTAAATAACTGATTTTCTTATTCTGTTAGGTAGTTGAATGTTGCTAAGTGGTTAAGCAAAATTATGAAGCTGGGTGGAGGTATTCTGCACTGCTCTGGCAGAAAAATGCCTCTTGTATGCCATTTAGTTAGCCTGTATGTTGAGATAAAAGAATTAGAGATACTTCCAAAAGGTGCTACCTTATCCAAATAAATGAAATCTGCTTATTAATTTAAGTAAGCAACTGTTTTTCTGGGATCTGAAAGGAGGAATCAATATATGATATAGTCTTTTAAAATTTTATTATCTAAATAGAGAGGACAGGCTTAACATATTTGAAATGATTTTAGAACAGAATAAGTCAAGTTCTTTTGATTAAGCATAGAACAGTTTACCATAGTCTGCTGGGGAATTAGGAATTCAAATAATAAAACTATTGCTATTTTGAGGGGATTATCAAGAAAGCTTTTATAAGAGGTCTTAAAATGAGATTGGAAGCAAAGTTAGTTTTGGATTAATGGAAGGGTAGAAGGGCAATTCCTGAAAACAGTTCAGAATAGTTCAGAAAGCAGCAGGAAAGAATCAGGAATTTTCTTCAGTCCTAAATTGGAATGAAGAGAGAGGCGTGCTCATTAGAGTAGAGTCACAGCATCTATGCATTTGTTTTGACCTTATAAATTAACTGTTCACTCTTCCTAGCAAAACATAAGTAATCTTTTTTTTTTCTTTTTTTTTTTTTTTTTTTTTTTTGAGATGGAGTGTTGCTCTGTTGCCAGTCTGGAGTGCAGTGGCCCGATCTTGGCTCACTGCAACCTCGACCTCCCAGGTTCAAATGATTCTCCTGCCTCAGCCTCCCGAGTGGCTGGGACTACAGGCAAGTGCCACCACACCCGGCAAATTTTTGTATTTATGGTTGAGATGGGGTTTCACTATGTTGGCCAGGCTGGTCTCAAACTCCTGACCTCATGATCTGCCTGCAGTGGCATCCCAAAGTGCTGGGATTATAGGGGTGAGCCACCGCGCCCGGCAACATAACTAATCTTTAAGGGCATAGGAGGGGAGGTAAGTATATATTCTGGATTGAGTTACTCATCTGCTCCAACTTTCTTCTAGTTTACCTTTCAGTACTCAGAGAGGTAAGGAACATTGATTGCAGCCAGGCTACAATCCCATTTAGGTTTCACCTTCAGAAGCGATGTGTGAACTTTGAAAAGTTGAAGTGGAAGATAAGATGGTGGCCACATTTTTGCTGCTATTAGCTTTTCTCCTATACAGCACAGCACAGTCTTAAAAACATTTATCTCTCTCTTTCTCTTTTGCTTTTCCTGCAGAAACTATAGAGGATTTCTTGTGTGGAGTCCTTAGCTTTGTGACTGCTGAGATTTAAGACATAGGAAATCATGACTTCCTCGTGGCAGCCTCATGATTCTGAGATCACAGCACGTGCATTTGGTACAGCCAGCAGAGGTGGTGGTGTCTTCTCGAATTCCTGACCTTCTTTCCATGGCAGAAGAAGCAACCCTTTTGCTAACTGAGGTCTATGGTGGTGTTCCTGGAATCTCCATCTCTAACCTATTTACCTAATCCTTCCAAAAATCTTATATTGAATCTTTTCATGTTTAAATTATTTAGAATGGTTTGTGGTATCTGTAAACACTGACCAATGCTTCCCACAATAAAATCAGCAGTATGGAAAGAAAGAAAGCAGATGGTTAAATAGTTTCTAACATAATTGCTAAAAATACAGTTTGTATGTGGGCTTGGTTAAGGATCTGTTAAGCTGCAGCTAGATGCTTTGGCACTTATGTCTTGTCCACATAGTAACAATATACTCATTGATTACTACATCTTAGATTTATAGCTACTTAATAATATAACTTATTGGAGCAACACATCTGGGCAAGAGAAATTTCTTCTTAGTCCTCTTTTGTTTTACATTCCAAGCTATACATACGGTCATACTTCATTTTATTATGTATTGCAGATATTGCATTGTTTACAAATTGAAGATGTGTGGTGACCCCGCGACAAGCAAGTCTACCAAAGCCACTTTTCAGCAGCATCTTCTCACTTCCTGTCTCTGTTTCAATTATGGTAATTCTCACAATATGCCACCACACCTGGCTAATTTTCGTATTTTTTGTAGAGACAGAGTTTCACCATGTTGCCAGGCCAGTCCGGAACTCCTGAGTTCAAGTGATCCACCTGCCTCGGCTTCCCAAATTGCTGGGATGACAAGTATGAGCCACCATGCCTGGCCTGTAATCTTTGATGTTACTTTTGTAATTGTCTTTAGGTGCCACAAAGTGTGACAATATAAAACAATGTACTTAATTAATGTATGTGTTATGACTGTTCCACCAACCAGTTATTCCCCCATCTCCCTCCATCTCCCGGGGCCCCTCTATTTCCTGAGAAAGAATAATACTGAAATTAGTCCAGTTAATATAACTCTACAATAACCTCTAGTGTTCAGCTGAAAGGAAGAGTCACACATATTTCACTTTAGATCAAAAGCTAGAAATGATCAAGCTTAGTCAGGAAGGCATGCCAAAAGCTGCGATAGGCTGAAAGCTAGGCCTCTTGACACCAAACAGTTAGCCAAGTTGTGGATGCAAAGGAAAAATTCTTGAAGAAAAGTAAAAATGCTACTCTAGTGAACACATGAATGATAAGAAAGTGAAACCACCTGATTGTTGACATGGATAAAGTTTTAGTGGTCTAGATATATCAAAACATCCACAACATTCCCTTAAGCCAGAGACTAATCTACAGCAAGGCTCTAACAATTCTGTTCCTCAGTTCTTCAAGTCTAATTCTATGAAGGCTGAGGAAGATAAGGAAGCTACAGAAGAATAGTTTGAATATTATATTCAAATAATTCACAGCAGAGGTTAATATTAATATCTCTGAATATTAATAGCAGAGGTTGGTTCATGAAGTTTAAGGAAAGAATATGTTTCCATAACCATAAAAGTACAAGCTGAAGCAGTAAGTACTGATGTAGAAGCTACAGCAAATTATCCTGAAGATCTAGCTAAGATAATTGATAAAGGTGGCAACACTAAACAGATTTTCAGTATAGACAAAATAGCCTTCTATTGGAGACAATGCCATCTAAGACTTTCATAGGTAAAGAGGAGAAGTCAACGTCTGGCATCAAAGCTTCAAAGGAGAGGCTGACCCTCTTGTTAGAGGTTAAGACAGCTGGTAACTTTAAGTTAAATACTCATTTAACATTCCAAAAATCCTAGGACCCTTAAGAATTGTGCTAAATTTATTCTGCCTGTGCTCTATAAATGAAACAATGAAGACTGGGTGACAGCACATCTGTTTATAGCAATTTTGATAGTAAAATGCTATCAAACAGCATTGCATGTTACAGAGAAATCTTTCGTGAAATAATCAACTGATGTGGCAAACTTCATTGTTTTATTTTAAGAAATTGCCTCAGCCACCCCTACTTCAGCAACCTTTATTCTGATCCATCAGCATTCATCAACATTGTGACAAGATCTTCCACCAGCAAAAAGATTATGACTGGCTAAAGGCTCTGATAATTATTAACATTTTTTAGCAACAAAGCATTTTTTAATTAAGGTATATATACTTTTTAGACATAATGCTACTGCACACAATAGTCAACACTATAGTGTAAACATAACTTTTATATGCACTGGAAAACTACAAAATATTTGTGACTTGTTTTATTGTGGTATTTGCTTTATCTCAGTGGTCTGAAACCAAACACAAAATGTCTCTAAGGTGTGCCTGTATTTGATTGTTATCTTAAAAGGCAGAAATATTTAAATATTCAAATATAAAAAAATTGTTATTTCTTATTTACTTTCCATTTTTGTTAGATTAGCTTCACCTTTGGCAAAATAACTCTTAGTGTCCTCATCTCTGAGACGAAGGTAAAAACTCAAACCAACTTCATAGGGTTATCATGAGGAATACACAAATTAATGAATTGGGTCAGGAGGTTCCACAGGACCCTCCTAAGACTTGATGATTGAATGAAACAACTCACATGATTCAGAAAAGCTGCTATACTAATAGTTATTGTTTATTACAGAGAACAGATGTAGAGATTAGAATCGGCAAAGGGAAAAGGCCCATGGGATGAAGGCCAGAAGAAATCAAGCTACAAGTTTTTCTCTCCAGTGGAGTCCCATGAGGATGCACACAACTCTCCCAGCAGCAATGTGGGACAACACATGCAAAGTATTGGCCATCAGGGAAGCTCCCCCCAGCTTTGGTCACCAGGGTTTTTTATTGGTTGTCAGTCATGCACACATTCAGTGCTTCTGTGACTGACCTCACCCACCAGACTGTAACCTCAAGAGCAAAATCAGGTATTCACCATAAATCAGACTGTTAGGATAAACTTATATGCTCAAATTGCCATAGCATGGCCCAAGGCCTCAGGCTTATGGAAATATTATCAGGCAGGGTATTCCAGGAGCTCAGAAATTGTCTCCAGGAGACGAATGGGACAGGGAAGGTAGGAGGTTGTAGCAACTTGCTAAAATGGGAGACATTTCACAAGAAAAAATCAGTTGTAGAAAATCCTCATTCATCAAAGGGTCACTGTATTCTTGGGCATAAAACCTTGACTGCACATATTTCCAGCTGTGCTTACATTAAAAATTCCCAAAGGGATTTGTTGGAAGTAAGAAGAGAAAAATGATCAGTCTAAATCTACAGAGTGACTGCAGAGGCATGGATTAGTACATGTGAATACTGAATATGCAAATCAATAAAGAAAACACATTTATTCTTGAGGCAAAAAAAGCAATGCAATGAAAAAAAATTAAGGTTAACTTCATCGGGAAGCATTAACCATAACATGTATTCTCACTCACATACTTTAGGAAAATGAGAAGAATAGCTCCAATTTATTGATTTATTTCACTCAAATATTCATTGCTACTGACTATCTATCATTCACTCATTTATTCATCCATTCATTTAATCAACATATATGGAATACCCAATATGTGATAGGTACTTTTCTAGGCATTGAACCCAATGAGCAGAGCAGATTAAAGGCCTGCTCTCATGCAACTTACTTTGTACTAAAGGAAACAGCAACAAACAAACACATGAAATCATTTCAAAATTTTCTCCCATTTTGTAGGTTGCCTGTTCACTCTGATGGTAGTTTCTGTTGCTGTGCAGAAGCTCTTTAGTGTAATTAGATCCCATTTGTCAATTTTGGCTTTTGTTGCCATTGCTTTTGGTGTTTTAGACATGTGGGCTTCATCCCTGGGATGCAAGGCTGGTTCAATATACACAAATCAATAAATGTAATCCAGCATATAAACAGAACCAAAGACAAAAACCACATGATTATTTCAATAGATGCAGAAAAGGCCTTTGACAAAATTCAACAACGCTTCATGCTAAAAACTCTCAATAAATTAGGTATTGATGGGACGTATCTCAAAATAATAAGAGCTATCTATGACAAACCCACAGCCAATATCATACTGAATGGGCAAAAACTGGAAGCATTCCCACTGAAAACTGGCACAAGACAGGGATGCCCTCTCTCACCACTCCTATTCAACATAGTGTTGGAAGTTCTGGCCAGGGAAATTAGGCAGGAGAAGGAAATAAAGGGTATTCCATTAGGAAAAGAGGAAGTCAAATTGTCCCTGTTTGCAGATGACATGATTGTATATCTAGAAAACCCCATTGTCTCAGCCCAAAATCTCCTGAAGCTAGTAAGCAACTTCAGCAAAGTCTCAGGATACAAAATCAATGTACAAAAATCACAAGCATTCTTATACACCAATAACAGACAAACAGAGAACCAAATCATGAGTGAACTCCCATTCACAATTGCTTCAAAGAGAATAAAATACCTAGGAACCCAACTTACAAGGGATGTGAAGGACCTCTTCAAGGAGAACTACAAACCACTGATCAATGAAATAAAAGAGGATACAAACAAATGGAAGAACATTCCATGCTCATGGGTAGGAAGAATCAATATCGTGAAAATGGCCATACTGCCCAAGGTAATTTATAGATTCAATGCCATCCCCATCAAGCTACCAATGACTTTCTTCACAGAATTGGAAAAAACTACTTTAAAGTTCATATGGCACCAAAAAAGAGCCCACATCGCCAAGTCAATCTTAAGCCAAAAGAACAAAGCTGGAGGCATCATGCTACCTGACTTCAAACTACACTACAAAGCTACAGTAACCAAAACAGCATGGTACTGGTACCAAAACAGAGATATAGATCAATGGAACAGAACGGAGCCCTCAGAAATAACGCCGCATATCTACAACTATCTGATCTCTGACAAACCTGACAAAAACAAGCAATGGGGAAAGGATTCCCTATTTAATAAATGGTGCTGGGAAAACTGGCTAGCCATATGTAGAAAGCTGAAACTGGATCCCTTCCTTACACCTTATACAAAAATTAATTCAAGATGGATTAAAGACTTAAACGTTAGACCTAAAACCATAAAAACCCTAGAAGAAAACCTAGGCATTACCATTCAGGACATAGGCATGGGCAAGGACTTCACCATCAAAAAGTGGGCAAAAGACATGAACAGACATTTCTCAAAAGAAGACATTTATGCAGTCAAAAAATGCATGAAAAAATGCTCACCATCACTGGCTATCAGAGAAATGCAAATCAAAACCACAATGAGATACCATCTCACACCAGTTAGAATGGCAATCATTAAAAAGTCAGGAAACAACAGGTGCTGGAGAGGATGTGGAGAAATAGGAAGACTTTTACACTGTTGGTGGGACTTTAAACTAGTTCAACCATAGTGGAAATCAGTGTGGCAATTACTCAGGGATCTAGCACTAGAAATACCATTTGACCCAGCCATCCCATTACTGGGTATATACCCAAAGGACTATAAATCATGCTGCTATAAAGACACATGCACACATATGTTTATTGTGGCACTATTCACAATAGCAAAGACTTGGAACCAACCCAAATGTCCAACAATGATAGACTGGATTAAGAAAATGTGGCACATATACACCATGGAATACTATGCAGCTATAAAAAATGATGAGTTCGTGTCCTTTGTAGGGACATGGATGAAATTGGAAATCATCATTCTCAGTAAACTGTCACAAGAACAAAAAACCAAACACCACATCTTCTCACTCATAGGTGGGAATTGAACAACGAGAACACATGGACACATCCATGTAGGGGAACATCACACTCCGGGGACTGTTGTGGGGTGGGGGGAGGGTGGAGGGATAGCATTAGGAGATATACCTAATGCTAAATGACGAGTTAATGGGTGCAGCACACCAGCATGGCACATGTATACATAAGTAACTAACCTGCACATTGTGCACATGTACCCTAAAACTTAAAGTATAATAATAATAAAAATAAATAAATAAAATAAAATCATTTCAAGTGATGTTAAGTGGTACTAAGAAAATAATAATTGAAGCAATAAAGCCTCAGGTTTTATAGAAGCAGTTGAACTTTGTCATTTTAACTACATATCCGGAAGCCTTAAGAAGAAGTTGAAAGACTATCAATTCCTATAAAAACATATCTATGAGGATATTGTATTAATTTCCAAATATGCTGTAACAAACTACTGTAAACTTGGTGGCTAAAAACAGCACATATTTATTATCTTACAGTTTTGGAGGTCAAAAATCTGAAATGGGTCTCATTGGAGTAAATCAAGGTATAGCAGGGCTGTGTTCCTTCTGCATTGTTCCTTCTAGAGGAAAATTAGTTTTTCATACTTTTTCCAACTCTAAAGGCTGCCTACTTTACTTGGCTTGTGGCTTCTTTCCATCGTCAAACCCAGCAATAGCTAGTAAAGTCTTTCTCTTGCTGTATCACTCTTAACAGTGAGTCTTCTCTCTCCTTCTTCCACCTTTTCCTAGCCCTTGGATTACTTTGGGCACACATAGATAATCTAGTATAATCTTCCTATTTTAAAGTTAACTGATTAGCCACCTTAAATCCATCTGCAATCTTAAATCCACTTTGCCATATATCACAACATATTTATAGCTTCCGAAAATGTGGATATGGACATCTTTGTGGGAGCCATTTTTCTTCTGCCTACCACAATCAGCTGCACTTACTTGAATGCAAAAGAAGCAATCTCTCTATAAAACTCAAAGGCTACATTTGTTTGAGTGTTCCCTCTCTATTTTATTATGTTAAATTCGATATTTGAAAATCTAAAATTAACATCTCTTGGTCTTACAGATTTTTTTAGTGTGCAAAATGTCTTTCTCAATATTGAAAATCCATATGAGTACATGGACAATTTCACATACCATGTGGACTTGCGAAATATTACCTAATTTAGAGGGTAAGTAAAAAAATCAAAATAAAGTTTGCAAATGATTGTTTACTTCATGCAAAGAATTATGCAAAATATTGTTATATATGATTCTGATTATAGGTAAAGACAGCTAATATCCTCTAAAATTGTGATACAGTGAAAGAAGCTGAGGGAAAAGGCAGGCAATAAAAGTTGCTCCAATTGGAATCAGACATTCTACACAATACCACTGAAGTGGCACGGTAGTGCAGGCTAGCCAAATTTGATTAACAATTCTCCTTTTATATCTAGGGTCAGGCATGAATAGATATGGTATTCTGCCATCCTTTATTATTTCTCTGTTAACCACAGTAACAATTTTCACTCAGTTTTCTTAGAATGTTTGGTTTTCTTCTTCTTGCTAGTTGAAATACAAAATTTTTATAGTATGCTACTCACCTCCTCTCTTTATGGGAAGGACCCAAATATTACTTATCACACCAAATCATTGAATAAAACCAAGATCCATCTGGGAAATTTCCAGTGTTTAAGGGCAACTAGAAAAGGTGCATGGAGAACATGAAACAATGTAATTTGGGAATAACAAGGGCAAATCATTTCAAAATGGAGACCAAGTCCTCAGTGATCTCACTTCCCTATTACTATTTGTAAATGCTCATGATGTTTATTATGGGATGCAATTTATTTCCAGTGATGGAGTTGGGGAGGATTATTGGATTTATTCAGGATGCTAGAGGTACACATATTTCAGTGGCTAACCCTGGAGACACAGGCAAAAAATTATTAAGCAAATTTGACACCTTCAGATATCTTCCTGTCACTTAAGAGCTAATGTCTAGAAACTCTGTTTTATTCCAATTGGAGCCACCCTCAATATGTATCTTGTTTTTTAATAAAAGAAGATTGTGAAAGGTTCTAAGTATCAAAATGTATCCTTTTGAACTAAGGTGAGATTAAGCATAGCCTACTCCTCCATTATGACAAATGTCATGACAGCAATCCAGTCTCAGAAGAAATTGAAACCAGGACCATCTTCTCATATTGCCAGAGGACTCCAGATTTCCCTGGATAGTCAATGATTGTAGTATCAGAAGGTATTGCTATGGACATTGTTACAACTAACTTGTGAAGTGGGAAAAGTTCCCTTGTTCCCTCACAGGACGTGCGATGGGGGTGTGGCTCACTTCCTCAGTGCCCCGCTGCTGGGACCTCTAGGGGAGCATATAGATGTGCAGGCTGTGGGGCTCCGACCCCAAGGCAGTGTCTAGGGGTGAATGTTTATGGCTCCTGAAGCCCCAGTGGTTGTGTGTTACAGGGTGCTCTTTTAGTTTGCCTATAGGCGGCTTGTGTTAGCTCAATTAGACCCTCTTATTGTTGCAAGGAGAGAAGGCTTTCTGTATCCTAGGTTCTTGCCTTGGAGTACTGGAAGAATCGGATCACACCTGGGCTTGGAGAATGAGTGCAAGGTTTTATTGAGTGGAAGTAGCTCTCAGCAGATGGGGGACATAGAAGGGAGATAGCTTTCCCCTGGAGTTGGCCATCAGTAGCCCGGGCTCTTCTCTGACTGCCCTGGCCAAACTCCACGTCGTTCTGCCAGTTGGTGGCCTGCTGGTGTGCCCGTGCCTGTCGGTGCTTTCCTCTAGAAGTCCAACCGCCTGTGTGTTCCTCCGCCAATGTGCTTCTCTCCACGTCCACCTGTCTCTGTGCCTTCTTTCGCGGATCTGCTCCTCTCAACGTCCAGCCTCTTGTGTATCTTCCCACTAAGGTCTCAAGTTTTTGTTTTAGTTTTTGTTTTGAGACGGAGTTTCACTCTTGTTGCTTGGAGTACAATGGTGCATTCTTGGCTCACTGCAACCTCCGCCTCTTGGGTTCAAGAGATTCCCCTGCCTAGGCCTCCCGAGTAGCTGGGATTACAGGCATGCACCACTACGCCCGGCTAATGTTTTTGTATTTTTAGTAGAGAGGGGCTTCACCATGTTGGCCAGGCTGGTCTCGAACTCCTGACCTCAGGTGATCCACCCGCCTCAGCCTCCCAAAGTGCCCGTATCACAGGCACCAGCCACTGCATCCAGCAGGTCTCAAGTTTTTATAGGTCCAGGCTAGGGTGGTCTTGGAAAATGCAACATTTGGGCTCCAAAGCAGGAGTGCCTGTCCTCACCTGGGTCCATGGTGTGGAGCCCTAGCCAGGGACCACACTCACCTCCACCCAGTACTTCCCTTTCTCTCTTCCATATCATTTAAAGGGACCACACTCTTCCCTTCCCAGAACTCTGGCATCACTAGGATCTATTTCCCTGTGGCTGTGATTATTTAGTCTAAAAGAATATAACTTACTTAAGACAAATGTCATTTGTCTGAAAGAATCTTTGGAGGTTTTCATGGCTCATGTGATGCATCCTATGTCTTTGAAACCAGAAAACATTCTGGTCTTTGTTTAACTCAAAATAAATGAATTTGTAATATTTTATGAACTCTAAAATTATAGTTGTGCTTTAAGTTGCTTTCCATCTATTGTATCTCTTGTGTAAACACAACTCCATGACAGCCTGTATCCTTGGGGTGGGAGTGGGAAAATAATGTTGTAATAGAAGAAAACTTACTAAGGAGATCTGTGTTTAATTACAATATATGTGGTTTATTCTGAAAGAACTTGGAGTTTTCTTTATTATTCTAAATTGTCCAAGACCAGACTGCTTGAATGCCCTAGTCCAAATGGCAAATGTCTCTCTTTCTATAGTTTATACACAGAACAGGAAAAAACAGTCATTCTTCATCTCCCTTCTTATTCTTGTTTACAAAAGACTTTAACTAGGTCTTATGTCTGGGGATTCCTTTAAAAGTATTATTCTAGTTCAGCTAGCTGAGAATGAATAGAACAAAGAGAAGTCATTATCCCAGGGAGGCTTTAAAGTTTCCTGAAGTCACTTGTAATGCCATTTTAATAGCATATATAGAGAACCATTCTGGCTAAAATATCCTGGGGGTCTTGACCACTAACATCATGGAGGAATGGAGGTTAAACAAGCACAAACACTGGACCAGAGTGAGAAAAACAGGATACCAGCAAAGTTCCTGCTACTCATTATGCTTGGCCATAGGCAGTACCTTCTCTCTGGAGCTGAGATTTTTCTGTCCATAAATACAGGTTTGAAAGCTCAGAAGTTGTGTCCGGAGTTGTTTCCTTCCGGTGGGTTCATAGTCTCACTGACTTCAAGAATGGAGCCACGGACCTTCACGGTGAGTGTTACAGCTCAGAAAGATGGCACAGACCCAAAGAGTGAGCAGGAGCAAGATTTATTGTGAAGAGCGAAAGAACAAAGCTTCCACAGCCTGGAAGGGGACCCGAGTGGGTTGCCCCTGCTGGCTGGGGTGGTCAGCTTTTATTCGCTTATTTGTCCCCACCCATGTTCCGTTTTTGTCCTATCAGAGTGCCCTTTTTTCAATCCTCCCTCCAATTGGCTACTTTTAGGATCCTGCTGATGGGTGCGTTTTACAGAGCGCTGATTGGTGCATTTTACAATCCTCTTGCTAGCTACAGAGCACTGATTGGTGCGTTTTACAATCCTGGCTACAGAGCGCTGATTGGTGCGTTTTACAATCCTCTTGTAAGGCAGAAAAGTTCTCCAAGTCCCCACTCCACCCAGGAAGTGTAGCTGGCTTCACCTCTCAAAGTGACCTTCATCTTCACTGAAGGCTTAGGAGAAGAGGTAGAGCATTATATTGACCTATTTTACAAATTAAGCTTCCACTTGAGAGTTCTCTTAGATAAAAGGTGAATCCTAGATTTTATCTGATGTGCCTGAGAATTCTTTTGTTTTATGAAATGGAATTTTACTTATGAGTTTAATTCATTTATTGATTGATTCTCATTAATCAAATATTTATTGAAAATATAGTCTGGCAATTAATGTTTGGCAATCAATGGATACTTAAAGATTCTCTTCCACCTGGATACTGTGTGGATTTAATTAAGTTCTTATTTTCTTATAATCTCAGGCATTCCTTAAATTGGAATGTTACAAACTATTGATAAGAGAGAAATTTTGAATGTGAAAGGAGAGCTAAATTTATTTGCGGGTAGATTAAATGATATTCTATGTGGTATGATTCAAGCAGCATAAAAAATCCTCCTGAAATATTCTACCACTACCCTTTTTCTAATTCCTAAAAATTCATAATTAATAAGTCATGAACTTATTAATTATGGGACTTCTAAAAAAAGGAAAAGCATCTGTAGAAATGGAAATTCTAAAAACAGGAAAAATAAAGTCATTAATATTCAGCAATAAACATTCAACGTGTATTAAATGTAGACCTATTTTGGGTTAGGCTTAGTTTATTTTTTAATACAACAACAGAGAATTCTAAAGGAAAGGAATTGTTCAATGAAGTGGAAGTACCTATGAATCTATTAATTTAATGCCTTAATACATTTTGTAGAACATTCTATACCAGCATTGTGGTCTTTGAGCAGTATCCCTTTTCCCTCGCCAGATTTTAAACAAAATAAGAAATAAGACAAAATGTAAGATAAGTGGGAGGTGTAAATATCACCATTTTATTAATAAAAATCAAGTTAAACAATTTAGTTTTGTGTAAAAACAAATAGGCCTGTTAATTAAAACCCCAAATTAGGCAGACTTACCTATCATGCTATGGTAATATTGGGCTAAGGCAGCCTCTCATGTGTTCAAAGACAGACCAGGTAGGAGTGAAGGTGTGGTAGAGAGGGAAAGAGCAGCTAATCTCTGTGGGCAGCCGCTCATGTCCATATAAGAAAAAAGTCGGGGAGAGAAATTTAAGCATGTTCCGTTTATTCTTTCCAAATTTATCAACCAGATAAGTCATTCCACTTCTTCTGAGGGAGTGAAGAAAGAGGCCAAGTTCAGAATTGTACCAATTGACTACCTTGACCTGGACATAAGCACCAGAATGGTTGCACTCAACAACAAAGACTGTACTGGGAATAGAAAGATGAACAAGACAGTGCACTTCCCTTCAAAGAGCTTACAGAATCACAACCAGCAGGTAAAATAGAACACATCCCAGCTTAGAATCTTAGACGCTTACCTGTAAAATAAGAATGATGATACAAACCTCACATATTTGTTGTTTGAAGTCAGTGAGATTTTGTGTATAAAGTATGTACCATCATATCTAGCTGGAGAAATAATTTAATAGACGTTTGTTTCTCATCTCCGCTTTCCACATTCAGGTTGCCTCTACACTGTGTGGAATGAAATAGGTTCTATGTTTTTAAGATATTCTAGACCTCTAAGAATTCTTTAACAAATGGAAGATCAAAGTTATAAGCATTTTATTTAGGGACTGTGAGTCAGAAGATAGACATTTGATAGCATTAAATATTAAAGGAACAGAAATAAGTTAGCCTTTACCTGCCTCTGATGATAAAGACTGTTGTAGCAAACATTGGTTGAAAAAAAAAAAAACCATAAAGTAATATAACTTTGTTTCTGGCAGTGCAGCAGTCTTAGCCTTCAGCAACTAAATACTCAAAAAATGTAATCGAATTCTTGAAAGACAGAATCTGTCAATCTAAAATTTTGTGAAAAGATAAGCTGTTTTTCAAGAATGAGGACAAACTAAAGGCATTATTAAAGGGAAAAAACTGAGACTGTTTAACAACCATAAATCCTCACTTAAGAACTTTCAAGCAGAAGAGAAATGACATTAGAATGAAAGTTTGAGTTGCAAAGAGTAAAAACATATATAGAAATTGGTAAATATGGGATACATATGAACAAACAGTATTTGTTCATATGTATCCCATATTTACAATACAATAAATACAAAATACAATATTTATTGTGTTTTACAAATAGTGTTTGTAAAATAGTATTACATAATGCTTAATTAAAGGTGTAAAAGTAAAGTTTTGGCAAAAAAAAAACATAAGTTGTTAGGCTGGCAGAGTTAAACATGTAAACACATCTTATTTGAATGGAAGGTAGATACGGATTGACTTTAGAACTTGTGAAGTGTACATGTATATTTGTTGAAGTTAAACACTTAAAATGGGATATATATTTAGAAACATCTAAGTTAGTAGAGGATAAAAATTGAGACAAAATTTAAAAACTTAATTTATTGAAAAGAAGGCAAGAATGAAGGGTGCATTATAGAGAAAGTAGAACTACAACACCACAACCAAAAACCCAAAGATGTGAGAAACATCTCAGCTTATCTATAATCCCAGTAATCACAAAGACAATAAATTCACTAGGTAGATGACAAAAATTATCATCACAGTGGAATAAAGATCAAAGTTTATGTTACTTCTAAGAGATTCACCTAAAAACACAAGGACAAGTATTAGAGTACAAGTATAAGGAATAAATATAACAGGAAAGTAATACACAAAATAAAGTTTGAACAGTTAAAATAACATAAAAAAAGAAAACTTTACCAGAAAAATTTTTGAAAGGAACATCATTAGGAATAGAGGTAGTCATAGCATGAGAAAGGTCCAATTCTTGAGAGAAATACAATAATTTTATCTTGTTTGGACCTAATAGCTCCAAACACACAAATAATACAGTCAATACATCTACAAGAAAAGCTGCACAGTTTAGTACTATAATGGCCATAATATACTCCATCACTTTGGGTTACTTACATGCCAAGCAAATAAAAATGTAAAGATATAGAAGATCTGGTTATTTAAAAGTTTTGAGTGAACAGGTACCATCTATAAATTCTTAAGCCAGCATATATCAGCAGTACAATTTTAAAATAATTGTTATAAAGCATTTCACTGTGTGAATATAACATATTTTTTGCAACCAATTCTCATTTCTGAGGCTTGACCCTTTCGACATGTCACGTCCTTATTATATTTTTCTCCATGTCAATGTAGAGAGATTTTAAAGGCCTCTTGCTGCATGAGATGGAACAGTAAGACCAGAGGGATCCTGTTTCTTCATTTATTTCAGTACCAGCAACCCCATTGAGTTCATCACATCCTCATGGTATTTCTCAAGGGCAGAGAATAATTTATTGGTATAGAATTGTTGGCATGTTTTTCTTCCTCAACCATTAAAATACTCATCCTTTATAGCTTTCTAAAAAGGAAGTACATGTAAGAAATACTAGTTGTCAATTCTTCCTAGGCTTGAGTCATTCCCTCTGCAATCTCTTTCAGTTTGTATCTCTAATGTTGATAGGATGCTGTGAGGGAGGCAGGAAGAAAATCCATCCATAAACATTTGCTACTAGACACATGAACAATTTCAGATATGTTTCCCCAAAGAAGACACACAACAGTTTTCAACATTATATTTATGTGCCACACAAACAGGAATTGGGCACATTGTTTTTCTTCAGAGGCTATTTAGGTGCACACTGAGTTGTTGGTAATGAGTTTCATAAAACAGGGACGTCACCTTATCCCATCTTAACAGAGCAGCGATATTGCATGCTTAATTGTGAGAAGCATTTGGGAAATGACCTTCATAAAACCAAATGTCCAACCCTAGCAGGAGGAAATGTATGGTGTTCAAATTATTTTTGTTCTTTTGTTCAGAATTCTGAGGACTTAAACACTTAGAGTATTTATGTTTTATTTTGTTTTCTACTTGAGTCGGAATCAGAATAATCAGAAAAGTTTACAATTTTTTTCTCTATCCGAAAACAGATAATATCATAGTTTGAAGAAATATTATGTATTTAGTAGCATTTTAGAGATGCATCTTTCAATTGCTCTAATTCATTGAAATCAATCATTTTTACTTGTTGAATTAGTCTCTTACAGAGGAATGCAAATTGATTATATCAGTGAAAAATGCATTTAAATATCAAGATTTCTGTCTAAATAATATTTACATTAATTACTTTAATTACATTAATTATTTTAGCTCAACATCCTTTAGTTCAAATCTTATTAATGGTATGTATCTCAAGATACAAAATTTGCCAAAACCTTTCCTAAATTTAAATTTAAATTTATTTTTTATTTTAATTTTAATTTATTTTTATTTTAATTTAATTTCAAGAAAGGAAAAAATAAAAGAGAAAAGTTGGAACTAAACCACAAGACAATATTGTCAGAGACTTTTAATGCCCATTTACAGCTGACAGACTTGTGGTATTTGAGACTTGCTTTAACAATATCTGAAATGATAATGGCATAGAACTTTATCTGCAAATTTGGGAAGACTAATTGACCCTGACAGTAATTGTCTCAGTAGAGGAGAAGGAAGTCAAAACTAAAACTTCAGCCACTTAACCACCCCTTACAGCCAAATCCCTTGATGATCAGTGTGGAAAAATAATGAGACCTGCTGTTTCCAAAGGACCATCTTGCTATTGTCAACACTCCAAGGTTTCTCATTTGAGACTCAAATTTATTTCAGTTCCTTACATGCTCCATGATATCTGCCTGTATTACCATAAATTATTTCCACTAGAAATGTTGAACTGAAAAACAAAGAGCACCGGGTGTTTTCGTGCAAGAGAAATGAATCTTACCCAAAGGAAATAATGGCCTCATTCCACTCTGATGCACAGCCTTGTATGTTCAGAATCTTTGCCTTCACCCCAGGTGGGGGCCATTATACAATTGTAATACAATTGCTACAAATGATTAAACACATTGCTAATCTAAACCAAAGCAAAAGACTTCCAGTTTTCCCATCTCAAAGCATTTAACCAACATCTTCCAGTATGAAACTTGTTTCTTTTTTGTTCAGTTGGACTTGAATTCTATGCTTAGCTCTCATAAGGTTTTGTGTTCACTGTTTTGTAAACACTGCATGCCTTATTCCCATCTCCAGATGCATATGCAAATGCATATGCCCCAAAACTAATTACAGATGCATATGCTCCAAAAACCAGTTATGGTGTTGAAAGTCTTCCTGTACAATAATCTCCTGAGGTCAGTGTTGTTATTCTTATTTAATTAATAATAATAGTTACAATAAAAGGAACAAGAACAATTCCCATCATTTTCTGAGAACTTGCTATATGACAGGCTCTGTGTGAAGTACTTCATATGCATCACCTTCTTGAAATCTCACAGTGATCACACATGACAGATTCTAGTCTAATTCCAACATACAATGAAATAACCTAGCACTTACTAATTTTCTAAGGGTGATGCATCTTGTAATGGAGCAGAGAGTGAAACACAGATTTGTGTGACTCCAAGTCTAGCATCCCTTTCTCTTCTAAATATCCAGAGCTTACCTATTCTTCCAGATATGACTTGAATCTCACATTCAACTATAAAGACTTCCCTATTATTCCTATCTTTTTCTTTTCTTTTTCTTTCTTCCTTTTTTTTAAATTATACTTTAAGTTCTGGGATACATGTGCAGAACATGCAGGTTTGTTACATAGGTATACACGTGCCATGGTGGTTTGCTGCACCCATCAACCCGTCATCTACATCAGGTATTTCTCCTAATGCTCTCCCTCCCCACCCCACCCCCTGACAGGCCCCAGTGTGTGATGTTCCCCTCCCTGTGTTCATGTGTTCTCGTTCTTCAACTCCCACTTATGAGTGAGAACATGAGGTGTTTGGTTTTCTGTTCCTGTATTAGTTTGCTGAGAATGATGGTGATGGTTTCCAGCTTCATCCATGTCCCTGCAAAGGACATGAACTCATCCTTTTTATGGCTGCATAGTATTCCATGGTGTATATGTGCCACAGTTTCTTTATCCAGTCCACCATTGATGGGCATTTGGGTTGGTTCCAAGTCTTTGCTATTGTGAACAGTGCTGCTGTGATGATCCCTCAAGGATCTAAAACCAGAACTACCTTTTGACCCAGCAATCCCATTACTGGGTATATACCCAAAGGATTATAAATCATTCTTTTTTTTATTTTTGAGACTCACTATGTCACCAAGGCTGGAGTGAAGTAGCACAATCTCAGCTCACTGCAACCTCTATCTCTTGAGCTCAAGCCATCCTCCCACCTCAGCCTCCCAAGTAGCTGGGACTACAGATGTGTGCCACCACGCCAAGCTAATGTTTGTTTTTTTTATAGAGACATGATTTCCCCATGTAGCCCAGGCTGGTCTCAAACTCCTGGGCTCATCTCCCACCTCAGACTCCCAAATTACTGGGACTACAGGGGTGAGCCACCACACCAGGCCCCTTCCCTAGTATTCTGAGGCTGTCTTAGTTCTGTGCCTTACACAGAACATACAGCTGTTACTATGAACATTATTACACAATTCTTATCTTTCAGGCTTGTTGCTGTTATTCATATTTGCCATTCTTACATCATCAGTATTACAAAGGTGTCATCTTGGTGCTTCCTTTACAATACCTGGTTCAATGTCGAGCATATCATATAGGTGCTCTCTGTACCTATTAGTGAATTGTTTTCAGTCAAGTAAGCCACGTGGGGACAGAGAGAAGGGCTTAGTTAAGTGCAGAGGAGGCTTGTTCAGAATTCCATTCTGAGTACGTCTATTTTGGCATGTACCAAAAGAAGAGCTCTTCTCACTGTTTTGCCCTTTTCATCAGATAATTAAATAAAATATGTAGCCACTTAGCCTGATTTCCAATGCATTCTCCACTTCATTGCCTTTTAAAATCATCTTAATAAACACAAGCTGAGGTGGAAAATATTAGCAACCTCATCAGGTTATTGTTGAAACTGGAAAAAAAAAATCCCCTTCTAACAAGATACCAACTGTTCAGTTTCCTCTTTAGGCATTTTCTTTCTTGTTCCAGAAAATATACACGATGTACACTGTGGGTTGTCTTAGTTACCTTTTCCTTTTTTTGGAAAGTGGGCACAGAGGACAGTGAGATCTAATTTTATACAATATTATTTCAATTGATGTACAAAATAGTCAATAATAGCTAGTAATAAGGAGGATGAAATTATAATTATGATCACAAATTGTTATGAATTTTAGATGATATTAAAAATATATTTCAAAAATAAGGAATATAAAATTTGGTGAGATTACTTAACTTTTTAAAGGTGACACACGGGGCTAAAGAAAAGGTAGAGTCTCTATTTGACTCCCTGTCTCGCAAACACCTAAGTCCATGACGAATTCACAGTAAAGCAAGGTATCACTGAATCTTTATTGTGGCCAAGTATCCTTCCTTTGCTTTGCTTTAGCAAAGCCCTACTTTCTTGCTTTTCTTCAGTGTTGCTTACTGAACAGGAAGAATAATAAATTGTGCGACTCTCTCTGGCATTTTTGATTGATAGAAGGAGAAAAGATCAATACTTCTGCTTTCTACATTTTAAATCATGAGGTCACCATGCTCAAACACTCTCCTCTACATTTCCACTTTGAATTAGGTCCAGCAAACAGAGCTATCATTTCTGAAGCTCATTAACCCTGCTTTGCTTTCTCGCTTTATCCTACACCTTTAGTTCTTAACCACGACTACTATGGAAATAAAAGAAAATATCATCCATTTATTTTAGAATTCATAACTAGAAGTACATGAAAATTTCATTAACTATTTTTGGTTTTGAAGTTAAAGTGATTGATTATTATATTCAAGTAAAAGTATTCACTTGGGCAGTCAGGAGGCCAATATATAATCTAGAATTGTAATAATTTATATACTTGATGATTTGATATATGTCCTGCATTTATCTACCACTGGCTCTAAACCAAGCCACCATCATTGCCTGTCCACGTAACAGAGTAGCCTGCTCATCATTGTACTTTTTCTATCCTTTCCTAACTTTGGTTTCTCCTCCACTCAGCAGCCAGAGGGAACCTTTTACAATAAAAGCCAGATTAAATTCATTGTTCAACTCAAAATTTTCCCCAATTTTTTTCATGAAACAGCCCACGTTCACATAATGGCCCATAAAGTCCTTCATGATCTGTCCTTCCAATCTCTCTCTGATATCAACTCCTACTACTCTCTCCTTTCCTTTTTTTTCAATCTATTCAGAAAAACCTGGGTTCTTCACTATTCTCCAATTATGCCAGGCATGCTTCTGCTTCAGGGCCTGGTTACTATCTGTTTCCTCTGCATACAGTGCTCTTCCTCCAGATATCCACATGGCTAACTCCATGACTCCTTTAAGTTTCTACTCAGATAAAACCTTCTCAGAAGGCCCACCATAATCATCCTATTTAAAACTGCCAAATCAAAGCACTCCTGATCTTTCTTATCATACTCTAAGGTTTCTGTCATAACACATCACTTTTATACATTATGTATTTATAATAAATTATTTGCTAGACTATAAGTTCCAGGAGGTAAAAGAACTTCATCTTCTCTGTTCATTGATGTATATTGAGCATTTAGGTAAGTGCCTTATACTCAGTATTTGCTGATTGAATGAATGAATGAGTTAAAACAAATCTTGAAGGATCTTTATCAACTTATTTAAGGTGGCCTGGGTTATAACACGGTGCATGTCACATAAAGAGAGTCTCATGCTTTGATATGAAACCAAGCTACTTTAACATAGACTACTCTGGGATCCAGGTACATAATTTCAGATACCCAATTATGCAGAATTAAACAAGTAATCATTATTATATATGTAGACGAATAAAAAGTAAAAATTTTTTAAAGTAAATTTCAATCAATTGTTCTATGGTAGAGAAGTCAAATAGTTTTCAACAAATGACGTTTCTCATTCTTTCTTTAAAATATCTGTAATAGTACTTATTTTACAGGACAATACATCTGTTACTAATAATGGTAAGTAATTAAATTTTATAATGATAACTAATGTTCATCAGTGTACCAATATATCCTTATCATAATTACCATCTCTGGCTTGGATTTTTATGTAACATCTTGCTGCTGCACAGATGGTATGGAGGAAACAACTGTCTTTGGTTGAGATTCTTGATAAAGTTTATAGTCTTTAAGCCTGGAAAAACTCCAAATCATGCAAGCATCTGCCTTTATACAAAGTATGAATATGAAATTCATCATACCACACCCTTAGCTTTATTTTCCTGCAAGCAAAATACTGTCTTTCTGTGACATTTGGTTAAGGTTAATGATAATGTAATATTCTCAGGTACTTATAAAATCTATACAATATGTAGCTACCATGTCTCTTTTGATTATGACTTCAAACTGGTTTCTTCAAACCGTTGTTTTTTTTTTTTAATGGTGTAAGGAAGATAAAAAGCAGATGGAATAGCAATAACAACAACTAAAGGACAGAAAAACCTAGCAACCACAAGGCAAGAGCAAGATAAAAATAAGAATAATAAAAGATAAATGCACGAATTCCTAAACACCTTCCTCCTCTTCTCTCAGGTAACACAAATGAAAGCCTTCTTACTAACAGTTTTCGGTTATCTCACTGTAGAAGGTAGTCTGCTGTAGAGAGTAATTCCATCTATCTACAGTGCTGTACTTGAAACTGATAGTCCCATATGGAGTTTTTTGGATACAGATTGAAATTAACCCTTATGGACTTAAAGCTTGAAGATTATATTTTTTTATATGAGTTCCTTCCTCAGAAAAGGACCTTCAGGCCTCCCCCGCAAAAAAATATCCGCCAGGCATGGTGGCTCATGCCTGTAATGCCAGCACTTTGGGAGACCAAGGCAGGTGGATCACCTGTGGTCAGGAGTTAGAGACCAGCCTGGCCAACATGGTGTAACCCCATCTCTCCTAAAAAATACAAAAATTAGCTGGGCGTGGTGGCAGGTGCCTGTAGTCCCAGCTACTCGGGAGGCTGAGGCAGGAGAATCACTTGAACTTGGGAGGCATAGTTTGCAGTGAGCCAAGATTGCACCATTGCACTCCCACCTGGGAGACAGAGCAAGACTCTGTCTCAAAAAAAAAAAAAAAAAAAATGTATCAAACAACTGAATCTCACCAGATCACGTCAGACAATGGCCAATGACCAAACCCCTTATTCATCATGATTGCTTACTTGCCCGTCCCTACTATCTGTTTTCTTACACATTGTTTTATTTGTTCCCTGCTATATACCCCTAGTTTTAGTCAGTCAGGGAGTTAGATTTGAGACTGAGCTCCCATCTCCTCAGCTGCAGCACCTGATTAAAGCCTTCTTCCTTGGCAATACTCATTGTCTCAGTCATTGCCCTTCTGTGTGGGAGGTAGCAGAACCCAGACCGAACCCCTGGTGTTTTGGTAACATACTGATGCTCTACAATTTAAACAACCAACAACCAACGTGAGGACATTAAAAAAAAGTCTTATTTTTATCCTCACATCTTTGGTTGTTTATAAATAGAAGAAACACTTACAGGATGAAAAAGAAAAGATATGAAAACATAAGCAGGGCAATTTATTTGTTGGTCCAAAAATACAGACACAACATGAAAATACTTTACAGTAGACTGGTATTGGCGGAACACATAAGCCTTGATATAAGCGAATGCTTTCCAGAGAAACTCACCTTCAACCTCGTTATGAAGAAGTCTCACAAATAATTTCTGGAAAAAAAACATACGGCTCACAACGAAAAATAACAAAGCACATAGGGAAAAGTTACCATAATTAAGAAATTACTTAAATAACCGTATGTATCCTATTGTTATTGTAACTAATTACTCCAAATGTAGTATCTTAAAACAACCCACATTTATCATCTTATAATTACAGAGGTTAAGAATTCCAAAAATAAAGGGGTCACCAGGGCTGCATTTCTTCAGGAGGTTCTGGTGGAAATCTGTTTTCTTGCCTTTTCCATATTGGAGGCAGGATGAATTTATTGGGTCATGACCTCTTTCTCATTTCCTGTAATCTCTCCCCCCACAATGATACTTTCTTCTCTGACTGTGATGCTACTGCCCTCCTGTGATAAGGAGCCTTGACATTACTTTGGGCATACCTGTATAATTCAAGATAATGTCTTCATCTTAATTAATTAATTAATTTAGAGAAGGAGTCTCGCTTTGTTGCGCAGGCTGGAGTGCAGTGGCAGGATCTCGGCTCACTGCAAGCTCCGCCTCCTGAGTTCACGCCATTCTCCTGCCTCAGCCTCCCCAATAGCTGGGACTACAGGCACCCGCCACCACGCCTGGCTAATTTTTTGTATTTTTAGTAGAGACGGGGTTTCACTGTGTTAGCCAGGATGGTCTCGATCTCCTGACCTCATGATCTGCCCGCCTCGGCCTCCCAAAGTGCTGGGATTTCAGGCGTGAGCCACCGCGCCCGGCCAGATATCAGAATTATTAAAATACCTATTATAAAATAATTATAATTATTTGTGTTTAAAGCAATAGAAGATTGGAAAAAATGCATGTATGGAACAAGAAACTAAAAATTTTCTAGCATATTTGCAAAAGTATGAAATGAAATGAGAACTCAGAAAGTTAGATTAAAAAAACACCAAATAGATGAGTATAATAGCACATATCCGAATATACAGTTAGTAAAATTATTTCAGAATAAATTTTCAAAAATACATGGAAAAATGTTCCATTTTCCCTTCTAGATGAAATTATCACAGTTCATTTTAAAATGCTCTTTAAATTCTGCGTGTACATTTATGTACTTCTCTGTATGTATGAAATCTTTAAAAATATCAGTGAAACTTTTGTGCGGTTGGACACAACAAAAGATAAACTTGAATAATTAAGTAGGAATCTCAAAGACATTAAAAAAATAAAAGTACAAGTTATGAAAGAAAGTTAATGTGGTATAGAATATATATAGAGGAGATTCAATATCTGGTCATAGTAGTTTGTGAAGGAATGAACAGATTGAATATAGGGGATTAATTTTTCTAGAAATTAGCAAATACTCAACTAGAAAATATGGGGCAGTTTCACCCAAATACATCTATAAATTTATTATAATTTTAGGTGTAAAACTATTTTAAGTAAAGTTATTGCAGAGTGAAAAAGAATAAAATTCAGAAAGCAATACAAATGAGATTTAGCATATTCTAAAGGTCATGCTAATTATTAATGGGTACAGAATCGACTGTTCTCTAACTACTGTTAAGACAACTAGGTTTTATAATGAAAGAGCTTTCAAAGTTTCTACCTCACCCAAATTATACTCTAGTTCAAGTCAAAATGTAAGTGTAAATCAACAATGATAATTATTATAAAAGCATAATAAAAAATAAATGAGAATATGTTCCTAATCTTAGTGTAGTATATCTCGACACAGCAAGATAAAGATATATTTATTCTTAGAGGTATCTCTTCTAGATTTGATAACATAAAACATTAAAAACTTATTTGGAAGAAGTGATCATAAATTATACAATTCAGCAGATATTTATAAGCCCCTAACATGTACTAACTGTTCAAAAATCTTGGTATATATGAGGAACAAAACATACAAAAATACTTGCTCTTATTAATTTTAAATTTACTGGAAAAACAGGGAATAAAAACATAAAAATAAATGATATATTCTTTTAGAAGGTTCTAAGTGCTATAAAAAAAGGCAGAGTAAAGATGATCTGGCCTGGCTTTTGTGGCAACGGGAGTGTGCTGAAATTAAATACAGTGGTTAGTGTAGGCCTCATTAAGAAGGTGATATGTGACAAAGACTTGGAGAGGTTAAGGGGTGAGAATCCAGAGAAAAGCATTCTAGGCAAAGAGAACAGTCATTGAAAATTCCAAATTCTTAATTTTTTTTTTTTTTTTTTTTTTTTGAGACGGAGTCTCGCTCTGTCTCCGAGGCTGGAGTGCAGTGGCGCAATCTCGGTTCACGCCATTCTCCTGCCTCAGCTTCCTGAGTAGCTGGGACTACAGGCGCCCGCCACAACGCCTGGCTAATTTTTTGTATTAGAATAAAGACTTATAGAGACGGGGTTTCACCGTGTTAGCCAGGATGGTCTCGATCTCCTGACCTCGTGATCTGCCCGTCTCAGCTTCCCAAAGTGCTGGGATTACAGGCGTGAGCGACCGCGCCTGGCCGCAAATTCTTAATGTTTAGAGAACATCTAAGGGACTGAGTGCCTGAAGCAGAGCAAATATGGGAGAAAAAGTAGAAAAGTGAATAAAATTAAACGAAATGAAGGGACAAATGATTTGTCAGGAGAAAATATTTGCAATATTTATAAGAAAAGGGTTTGTATCTTTAAAAGGAGTTCCAATGCCTGAATAGGAAAATAACAGACATCCCAGAAGAATACTGAACAATGCATACAAATAAGTACATCGCTGAAGAAGCAAACTGCCCAATAAAGTCTTCAATCTCTGTGGTGGTAAGAATGATCAGGGAAATAATAAGGTAAATACAAATAATTAATTACTTCCTATGTTTTTTAGTTTTCAGTATACAAGTTTTGTCCTTACTTTTTTGAACATATAACTAAGTATTCTGGGTTATTAATGCTATTATAAATGGAATTGTTTTCTTAATTTCAGTTTTTATAATGCTCATAACAAGTGTATATTTATAGGTGTATACACACATATAAATTATGTAATCTGAAAATATAGAGAGTCTTATTTTTTCTTTTCCTATCTGGGTACTTTCTCTTTCTTATTTTTGCCTACATGCCCTGGCCAGCACCCCCAGTACAACGTTAGAAGTGGCAAGAATGAATATCCTTATATTTTTCATGATGTTAGGAGAAAAGAATTGTCTTTCACCATTAGGTATGATGGTAGCTGTTAATTTTTTTGCAAATCCCCTTTACTAGGGTGAGGCTTCTACTCCTAGTTTTTTTGTTTGTTTGTTTTTGGTATTGTATTTCTGTCAAATTTTTTTCTGGATTTATTGAGATGAGCATATAGTTTTTCTTTATTCTACTGACATGGCATATCGCATAAATTAACTTTTGGATGTTAAACTGAACTTACATTTTGATAGAGATTGCATTAAATCTGTAGATCACTTTGTGTACTGTTGAAATTTTAACAATACTAACCCCTAATCAAGAATGTGAGATATTTTTTCATTTATTGATGTCTTCCTTAATTTTATTGGTTAATGTTTTATAATTTTCATTGTACAAGTCTTTTACTTCCTTGGTTTGGTTAATTCTTAAGTATTTTATTATTTGTAATGGTATTGCAAATGAAAATATTTTCTTAATTTTATTTTTAGATGTTTATTATTAGTATATAAAAATGCAACTGATTTGTGTGTCTGAACTTTATATCTTCTTTGCTAAATTCATTTAAATTCTGAGTATTTTGTGTATATATTTATATAGAATCTTTAGTTTTCTACATATGAAATCATAAAACAGAGATAATTTTATTTCTTTTTTTCTGATTGAATTTTTAAATTTATTTTTCTTGCTTAAGTTCTCTGACTAGGACTTCCAGTACTATGTTAAATAGAAGTGAGAAGTATTCCCATTCATAGGCATAAGCTGGAAAATGTTTATCTCATAGAAATAAAAAATATAACAAAGAATACTATAAGCTGGAAAAAATAGGGGAAATGGGGAGGTAGGGAGAGATTTGTTAAAGAATACAAAATTACAGCTAGATAGGAAAAATAAGTACTAGTGTTCTATATCACTGTATGATAACTATAGTTAACAATAATATATCATATAGTCTCAAATAGCCAGAAGGAGGTTTTTTGGTGTTCCCCGAACAAAGAAATGATATATGTTTGAGATAATGAATATGGTAGTTACTTTGATCCAATTACTATACACTGTATGTTTCAAAACATCCCTCTGTACACCATAAATATGTACAATTATCGTGTATAAATTTATTTAAAAAACCTCTAAAGAATCAATCAATAAGTACTTTTTTGGTTTTCTTTTCTTTTTTCTTTATTTTTTTTTTTTTTTTTGAGACAGAGTCTCGCTCTGTACCCCAGGCTGGAGTGCAGTGGTGCAATCTCAGCTCACTGCAACCTCCACCTCCCGGGTCCTGGTTCAAGCAATTCTCCGGCCTCAGCCTCCCAAGTAGCTGGGATTACAGGCATGCACCACCATGCCCAGCTAATTTTTGTATTTTTAGTAGAGATGGGGGTTTCACCATGTTGGCCAGGCTGGTCTTGAACTCCTGACCTCGTGATCTGCCCACCTTGGCCTCCCAAAGTGCTGGGATTACAGGCATGAGACACTGTGTATGGCCCACTTTTTTGGTTTTCTAAGGAGAAAAAAATGTTCTTGATCTTAAAGGAAAGCTTCCAATTTTTTATTAATACTATTAATATAATGTTTGCCGTGGAGTTTTTATATATGGGTTTTATTATGTTGAGGTAATTGCCTTCTATTTCTACTTTGTCTTTTTTCAGTCATGAAGTAAGGCTGAATTATGTCAAATGCTTTTTCTGCATCAATTGAGATAATCGTGTAATATTTTCTTTCATTTCCTTAATGTAGTATATTTCATTGATTGATTTGTATACATTGAACCTTGCTTTCCAAGTGAGTAAATTTTTAATGTGCTGTTGAATTCAGTTTTCTAGTATACTGTCGAAAACGTTTGCATCTATGTTTATTAGTGATTTTGGTCTGTAATTTTCTTTTCTTCAATTGTGTTTTCCTGGTTTTGGCATCAGGGTAATGCTTGTCTCATGAAGTCAGTCAGGAAGTGCTCTCACCTCTTCAATATATTTGGAAAACTTTGAAAAAAATTTCCATTAATTATCCTTTAAAGATTAAGTGGAATTCACTAGTGAGGGCTTCAGGTCCAGGGATTTACTTTGTTGGGAGATTTTTATTATTTATTTTATTTTCTTACTCATTATATAGTTCTATTTAAATTTTCTATTTCTTCATGGTTTAGTCTTGGTAGCTTTCGAGTTTATAAGGATTTCATGTAGTTATCCAATTGTTGGCATGCAACTGCTCGTAGTACTGTCTTATAATCCTTTTATTTCTATAAAATCCGTAGTAATGTCTTTCATTTTTTAGTTTTGTAATTTGAGTCTTTTCTGCCCTGCTTTTTCTCTTTTTTTATTTAGCTAAAGGTTTGTCAAACTTGATCTTTTCAAAGAGCCAACTTTAGTTTCGTTGCATTTCTCTATTATTATTTTATTCTCTATCCCATTTATCTTTGCTCTTCTATTATTTCCTTCCTTCTGTTACCTTTGTGTTTTTCTTTTTCTAGTACCTTAAGTTATAAAGTTAATCTGCTGATTTAAAACATTTTTGATTAATTTTTAATGTGTTACAGCTATAAATTTTCTTCTTAGTGTGGCCTTCACTGTGCCCCATAAATATTGGTATGTTATGTTTATATTTTCATTTATCTTAAATATTTTTCAGTTTTCCTTGTGATTTCTTTATTAATTCATTTGTTATTTGAGTGTGTTTTGTCATTTCCACAAATTTATGAATTTTCTTGTTTTCCTTCTGTTACTGATTTCTAACTTCATCTGTTGTGGTAAGAGATGAATCTTTGTTTCATAGCTATCCTTTCACACCTACTGAGACAATGTATAGGCCCAAACATAGTCTATCCTGGAAAATGTTCCATGTACCCTTGAGAAGAATTAGTATTCTGTTGCTGGGCAGAGTGTTCCATATGTCTGTTAAAACTACTTGGTTTAGGAGGAGCCAAGATGGCTGAATAGGAACAGCTCCGGTCTACAGCTCCCAGTGTGAGCGACACAGAAGACGGTGATTTCTGCATTTCCATCTGAGGTACCGGGTTCATCTCACCAGGGAGTGCCAGACAGTGGGCACAGGTCAGTGGGTGCATGCACCATGCGTGAGCCAAAGCAGGGCGAGGCATTGCCTCACTTGGGAAGCGCAAGGGGTCAGGGAGTTCCCTTTCCGAGTCAAAGAAAGGGGTGATGGACGGCACCTGGAAAATCGGGTCACTCCCACCCGAATACTGTGCTTTTCCAACGGGCTTAAAAAACGGCGCACCACGAGATTATATCCCGCACCTGGCTTGGAGGTTCCTACGCCCACGGAGTCTCACTGATTGCTAGCACAGCAGTCTGAGATCAAACTGCAAGGTGGCAGCCAGGCTGGGAGAGGGGCGCCCACCATAGCCCAGGCTTGATTAGGTAAACAAAGCAGCCGGGAAGCTCCAACTGGGCGGAGCCCACCACAGCTCAAGGAGGCCTGCCTGCCTCTGTAGGCTCCACCTCTGGGGGAAGGGCACAGACAAACAAAAAGACAGCAGTAACCTCTGCAGACTTAAATGTCCCTGTCTGACAGCTTTGAAGAGAGCAGTGGTTCTCCCAGCATGCAGCTGGAGATCTGAGAACTCCACAGACTGCCTCCTCAAGTGGGTCCCTGAGCCCTGACCCCTGAGCAGCCTAACTGG
Organism: Homo sapiens; assembly: GCF_000001405.40. Lineage (NCBI taxonomy): Eukaryota > Metazoa > Chordata > Mammalia > Primates > Hominidae > Homo > Homo sapiens. The sequence goes on along the minus strand of NC_000005.10, from coordinate 162,530,949 downwards.
GAGGCACCCCCCAGCAGGGGCACACTGACACCTCACACAGCAGGGAATTCCAACAGACCTGCAGCTGAGGGTCCTGTCTGTTAGAAGGAAAACTAACAAACAGAAAGGACATCCACACCAAAAACCCATCTGTACATCACCATCATCAAAGACCAAAAGTAGATAAAACCACAAAGATGGGGAAAAAACAGAACAGAAAAACTGGAAGGGCTTCTATTGACCATTTTCCCTGTGTATGCATTACATTCACATTCTTTCCATGTCTCCTAACTTTTTATTGAAAACAGCTTATTTTAGATAGTATAACAAATCTGAATATAGATCCGCTACAGGAAGGAGTAATTGTTATTTGATTGGTTTTTTTGTTTATTTGTTTAGTAACATGGTTGAAATCCATTACTTTTCAGCATGCAGTCTCTTATGTCCCTGGTCAGATTTTTTTTTGGTTTGTTTGTTTTAATCTTGTAGCTTGGCTACTTATAGGTCAGTCCTAGTCAGCATAGCCACTTATTAGTCAAATGTTATGATTAAACTCTCTCAGCCAGTAAGATCTTTCCTCCATATGTTGATATGTTGAATATGTATGTGGCTTACAGACTACTGTCTAAATTCAGCTTGGGACCAAGACCTTGGAGGTTATTCTTCTCATTGCTGTTTTGAGGGCACAGCATTGGGCATGCACACTCTTTCAGACTACCAGTGGTGGCTATGATTTATTTCTAAACATAGCTTCCTAGGAGTTCACACTTGTGTCAGAGAAGCTTGCCAGTAAGTGTTTGTTTCATAAGAAGTTGAATTTAAGCATTTGTGCCATTGAGGGGTGTGCCCTTGTAATTGGTCTGTGTGTGGTTTTGAAAACACCTTCAAGTCTGTCCACTTCCTGTGCTGATTGCTTCTGAGTGAGCGAAGCACAGCCTTCTTGACTCCCGGGGTTGAGTATGATTCCAGGAGTACTCTTCTTAGATATCTCTTTTCCTTGTTCTCTCTATTAAAGCTCTGAATGTTTCCCTCTATTGCATCATGCTTTGTATCATGGAGCTTCTAGTCTCTCTTAATTTCTCACCACTAAGATATCCATTATTTTGAATACTTCTCTTAGTCACAGAGTTCCCCATGCTTTTTAACAACAACAATAATAATAATAAAAACCCTCAGGCAGCGTTGCAGAGCTCCGTAGATGAAAGCTGGGGTGGGGGAAAGGATCAGAAAAGGGAGCCCTGTGTTTTTGGCTATACCAATCTGCAATATAGTTTTTTGCATGCTGGGCTGAAGGGGGTAGAAAGCAAGTGGGTCATGACCCAAATACTATAGAAACTCACTGTTCTTACTGAGACTTAGTAGATTTTTCCAGTGAATGATTCTTCAATTCCTGTATGCTCTTAGACAATTTCCCTAGACTATAAATATTTTTTATGGTCTTCAACAATAAAATTTTTGTTTTGCCAAGAAAAGGTTACTCCTTTTCTAGGCTAGGTTACTCCTAGCTCTTGACTCTGTCACTCTGGAAGTTCTGCCTCCTATATACGTATTTGCATATGCAACTCATGCAGAGAAATGTATTTATAGTGTGTGTGCAACCACATACATTTACAATTGAATAGAAAAAAATCTGGCACACTAAGCACACTAATGTTAGCAAAATAGAACCTTGGGTATGGTTGGCTAAGTGCAGACTAGTTTTTATTTTATCAGTTATTTCTATTGATACAGTGCTGTCACTCTCCTGCTTTATATACCTCATTAAATTCTTGCCATTCCAAATAGTAAATACTTAAATGTTGCCATCCTAGGTCCTTTCTAGTCTGTTTCCAAGACTTTTGTCCAACATGTCCTTACTCTCCTTTCTTCCTGTTAAAATTTGACTTACTATCCAAGGCCCTTATGAAACATTACCTTTCTCAAGATTTATTTCTTGATCATGCCTTTGTGTCCCACCTTCCCTTTCATATAACTTTATGGGATACATGGTTTAGTTAACTTAATCCTTTCCTGCTAGATTGTGAATGCCTCACAGGCGGAAAGTATGTCTTATTCTTTTTATTCTTTCCCTAGTGCTTTACAAAGCAACTGCCACTTAGTAGGAACTCAATGAAAATTAGTCATTCTCGAATAATTGTATTCCACCATAATATCTGGCAGCAGAAATCACTTGCTTAAGGCTGTGTCTACATGCATTCAACATTAAGTGTAAACAGAAATATGTACTCTGTTAGGAAATTAGTGGAAATATATTGCCTTGAATACTTGAACTTACAGGGCACAAAACATATGCAATTGAGGGTGTGAAAAAAATATGAAATTCTGGCTCCCAGAAAAAAGAAAGCTATGAAAGTTGAATTTTTTCTGAGTATTTGCTTTGCTCCAGGCAGTATGTTACTCACCTTTCATACTTTGACTTATCTGTTTATTTTTTATAATAATCCTGAGACTTAGGCATTATTCACACTTCACAGAATGAGAATTTGAGACCCAGAGCTGTTAAATGACTTACCGAATGTTACAAAACCAATAGCTGGTGGAGCCAAGACTCAAACCCAGGCGTGATCCAAAGCTTGACTTTCCTGAATTTTAATTTGTCATTGTAATAAAACTATTTAAAATTAATTATCCTGTAACTGGCAGTGATCTTTAACTTCTGTTTTCCCTGTTTGGGGTCATCTTAAAAATCAGTGGTATATTGGACTGACTGGATCTTTTTGTCTCATTAGATATCGTCACATAAGCATAGACAAGAACATGGGTGAGACTTATAACACCTATTGGTTGTAGGGAAGACCAGAAAGCCTTCCTGGCATTTCCTGCAGAAACAGCCTTTCAGATGTCTTCTTGGTGGGAGACACAGGGCATTGCCAACTAGCTAATAGGCAGACCTATCTTTTAAAAAGAATACTGGATAATGCTCTGAAAGCAGAAAATATTTATCCTTAGTTGCATGTTAAGGTCAGCATGTTATCTCTGAATTTTCCCCTTCCCTTCCTCTCTCCACAATAACAGATGGATACAGCTATTTGGATAATGCCTCATTTTAGTGAAGTTCCTTAATTAAACTAGATACTCTGAAAAAACACAGTGTTTTGCAGGTGGTGACACATGCATCAACATGTTAAAAAATTCCCTGTGTAAGTGAAAATTACTTATTTGCTTTCAGCAAATAATTTGAATTCAGCCTAATAGGTCATTGGTTTGAATAAATATGGTTTGTTTCTTAGTGTGGGATAATACATAGGCAATGTATCACTATGCTCTGTAATGACATATTTCTAGAGCAAGGATATGTTCTATAAATGAACTTCTTCATCGAACTTACATAGCACCGTTTTATACACATTTGGCTGCTTCAGAAAGAGCCAAGGACTTCACCTGATCATTGGGGCTCTTCCTAAGACACCTCAAGGGAGAGTCCTTTAATATGTGGCTTCCTGTCATTCCCATGGCCAACAAATCAGGCCAACCAATCAGGCCATACCACCACAGGCAACACAGTTTTAACAGCATGGGCCTTGGAACCAGACAAACCTAGACTGGAATCTTGTAATCACCTACTGCTAACAGCATAACCTTGGATGAGTTACAATCCTATCTAGATTTTAGTGTCCTCATTTGTAAAATGGGATTAGTAACACCTAGCTCCTTGGTTTGTTGTAGGAATTAAGTAAAATGATTAAGGAAAAAATAATAAGCCATTAATTGAGATGCATTTATAAATAACTCTTGAGCTCAGCACAGGAAAGAATTCTGATGGATTGGTGATGTTTCTGACAGCATAGGATAGGGAATGGCAGTGCAATTTGCAATCTCATATTTCTCACTTTCAAATCTTACAAGGTCATTGTCATTGGTTTCTTTGAGCTCTGGCTTGAGAAAAAAGGAGAACATAGTTCTACGGATGGAGGATGATTCTATTTACAGAGGTTAGATTTTTTTTTTATTGTAAACTTATGATAAAAGGAATTTAAGTTTAATGTAGGCAAGAGATTACCAGAAGTATGGGAAAAATAATCCCAAGAGAGATTTGGAATTATTTAGGAATTTTAAGAGTAAACTAACTGGCCGGTCGTGTTGGCTCACACCTGTAATCCTAGCACTTTGGGAAGCTGAGGCTAGTAGATTGCCTGAACTCAGGAGTTCAAGACCACCCTGGGCAACATGGTGAAACCCTGTCTCTACTAGAAATACAAAAAAAAGAAAAAATTTTCTGGGTGTGGTGGTGTGCACCTGTAGTCCCAGCTACTCGGGAAGCTAAGGCACGAGAATCACTTGAGCCCAGGAGGCAGAGGTTGCAGTGAGCCGAGATTGCACCAATTCACTCCAGCCTGGGTGACAGAGTGAGACTCCATCTCAAAAAAAAAAAAAAAGAGTAAGCCAACAAATATTAATACACATGTGCAAAGTCTAAGGGAAATCAGTCCAGAATAAAAATAAATAAAGGTAAATCTCAGAAAGCACCTTCAAGAAGGTGGATTAACGGGTCAGGCATGGTGGCTCACGCCTGTAATCCCAGCACTTTGGGAGGCTGAGGCAGAGGGACCACGAGGTCAGGAGATCGAGACCATCCTGGCTAGCATGGTGAAACCCCATCTCTACTAAAATAATTAAAAAATAATAAATAAAAAAAGAAGGAAAAGAAGGTGGATTAAAAGCACCAAGTAGTCTTATCCTCCACAAAGGGGAACCAAAATAGTGAGAAGATAACTGCAATGCAAATACATAAATACATAATGTAAGAAAGAACACTGGAATTCAACAGAGAAGCTACAGGAAACACCTAAAATAAGCACGGAGAGGGAAGCATGGCAGTCTGCTTCTCTGGGATCATCCGGTAGCCTGAAGAGATTCTCCATTGCAGTCAAGGATAAGTGAGTCACCCATAGAGCTTCACATTTCCACTATGGACTCTTGCATCCTGGGCATGGGAAAGCCCCTAGACCCTTGCAGTCCCTAAGACTAGCATAAGGAGTTGCATGGAGGCAGTATGAAAACATTGTTCCAGACAGGGAGCTCACACTGAGTCCAATACATTCTAAGCTAAGCAGCTACTGAAAGACAGCATATTTAGAGCCCAGCCTCCACCAGACTGCATCCTGCCTGGAGGTCCAACAGTGCTTGCATCCCCACATCTCTAGAGCCTTCAGAGATTCCCCACCTTCAGCCACCACCATGGCTGGATGCTGCATCCAGGGCTGAAGTATGAGCTTTTGGCAAATACCCTGTTGCCCCAGGAGTGATGTCACTTCACATTTTCATGCACTCTGAGGGCAAACTCTGCAACTAGCAGTAGCCATCACTACAAGCTGTCACATCCAGGGTTGAAACACAAGTGAAGCACATACTCCTCAGCTGTCTGCCTATGACTGTTGTCCCTGAAAGCACACCTGTTCTCCCCAATAGTAGGTCTACAGTGCAGCCACTGCTGCTGCCACCCTCACCCAGAGCATTCTGCTGTGGGCCTTGGGCTCAATCTGCTGCTGCCTACCACAGCCAGTGCCTATCCACACCACTTGGGTGCTGGAGGATGGGCCCACCAAGCCCTGCTTTACATTCTTATGCTGTTCAAGGGCCTGGGGACTTCCCTGCCCAGTCCACTACTGTTGACACCCGAGTGTTCCTCTTAAGGGACTGAGATCAGGCCCACCCAACCTGTTGCTACCATCACAGTTGGCACTAAACTGCACATGCTTCTGTGGGCCTGGAAACTGGCCCACCTTGCTCATTGCAGCCACTGCTAACACTGGCAAATACCACTTGGTTCCCAAAGGTTAGACACCCCACTGCTATTGCCATTGTCCACAACATGCAGGCTGCTAGAGGCCTGATAACCCACCACCAGCAAAGCCTATCAATGCCTAGAGGCTCAAAAATTCATCCCTCTGAACCATCTAAAACTGGTGCCAGTGTATTCAGCCCTAGGGACCAAGGACAGGCATGCTCTGCCTGCTGCTGCCACCACTGGTCCCTGAGCACTGGCCCAACTGGCATCCTGAGCCCAGCAAAACTTCACCACAGCCTCCACTAACAACTTTACCCTAAATCACTGAGGAAATAACAGACACCACTGATGCTTTTTACAGCCAAAGACATCACACAGAGTCCACACTACTGCACACATCCAGAATCAAAGCCAATGTACTCTACTGAACTAACACCATAAATACATACTCAAAAAGAATTCCTCCCCTATGAAAGCAAATTGAAAAATTTGAAAGCAGTCACTATTACACCAGATGTGCAGATATCAACATAAGGACACAGAAACATAAAAAAGCATGGAAAATATGACACTTCCAAAGGAACGCAATAATTCTTCAGCAACAGATTCCAATCAAAAAGAAATTTATGAAATCCCAAGATGAAGATAAAAGGAATATAAATGTGTTCATTATCACTGTACACTTAAAAATGATGAAGGTAATATATATGTATATATACATATATACATAAACACACATAAACACACTTATATGTATAAAACCTCAATAAAAAACTTCAAAAAATTTAATATTAAAAAAGAGAGAATATTATGAAATTCCCGATAAAGTATTCAATATCATGATATTAAATAATCTAAATGAGATACAATGAAATTTTTAAGATTACAAAGAAATTAGAAAAACAATTCAGGATCTGAATGAAGAGTTTTCCAAAGAGATAGATATAAGAAAGAACTAAACAGAAATTCCGCAACTAAAGAATTCCTTGAATAAAGTACAAAATGCATTTAAAAACTTCAAAAGTAGATTAGCGAAAATCAAAGAAATAATTTCAAAACTTGAAGGCAGGTCTTTTGAAATTACCCAGTGAGACAAAACTCAGAAAAAAAGAACCAAAAAGAGTGAGCAAAATCTATGTGACATGTGAAACATGATAAAGCAACCGCATATTTAAATTTTCATTGTCCCTGAAGGTAAAGAAATAAACAAAATAATTAGAAAACATATTTAACAAAATAATAGCAGAAAACTTTCCAAGTCTACCAAGAGATTTAGACATTGAGATACAAGACATTCAGAAATCCTCAAACTGATACAATCAAACACGTCTTCTTCATGGCATATTAAAATCAAAGTATCAAAAGTCAAGACAAAGAAAGAAGATAAAAACAGTAAGAGAAAAATATCTATTCCCTTAGACGTAAATCTAGAATAATAGCAGATTTCTCAGTGAAAACCTTACAGGCCAGGAGAGAATGGGATGACATATTCACTGTGCTGAAAGATAAAACCAGCTAATCAAGGATACTAGAGTTGGCAAAGTTATCCTTTATAAGATAAGATAATAAAAGACAGATAAAGTCTTTCTCAGACAAGCAAAAGCTCAGGGAATTCATCAACACTAGATTGGCCCTTAAAATTTGCTTAAGGGCTGGGCACGGTGGCTCATGCCTATAATCCCAGCAATTTGGGAGGCCGAGGCCAGTGGATCATGAGGTCAGGAGATGAAGACCATCCTGGCTAACACAGTGAAACCCTGTCTCTACTAAAAATACAAAAAATTAGCTGGGCGTGTTGGTGGGCACCTGTAGTCCCAGCTACTTGGGAGACTGAGGCAGGAGAATGACATGAACCCAGGAGGCAGAGCTTTCAGTGAGCTGAGATCGCACCACTGCACTCCAGCCAGGGTGACACAGCGAGACTGTGTCTCAATAAATAAATAAATAAATACATACATACATACATAAATTGCTTAAGAGAGTACTATAACTGGAAGCAAACGGATGCTATTTATCACCATGAAAAAACATGAAATTTCAAAACCCACTGATAAAACAAACACAAAATTAAAGAAGAGAAATAATTCAAATGTTACCACTGCAGAAAAAAAAAAAAACCAAAATGGCAAACAATAAAAGGGAAATAAAAGAACAAAGGATATACAAAACAATGATAAATCAATCAGGAACAACCCTCACATATCAATAATAACATTAAATGTAAATGGATTAAACTTTCCACTTAAAAGATGTAGACTGACTGAATGGATTAAAAACAAACAAACAAACAAACAAAAACCAGGCCCAGCTATATGCTGTCTATGCTCTCTAAAAGAAACTAATCTCACTTGTAAAAACAATTTTAGACTGAAAGTGAAAGTTGGAAAATTACACTTGTGCAAATGGAAACCATAATTGAGTAGGAGTGGCTATACTTATATCAGATAAAACAGAATTTAAGTCAGAAGAAGTAAAAACAGACAAAGAGGGTCATATGTAATGCTAAGGGGATAAATTCAGCAAGAGAATATAACAGTTCTAAACATATATGCAGCCAACACAGAGCACACAAATATGTAAATCAAATATTATTAGAGCTAAAAGGAGAGATAGACTCCAATACAATAAGATTTGGGGACTTGAACACCCTACTCTCAGCATCAGACAGATCATCTGGACAGACAATTAACAGAGACACATTGGATTTAAACTGCAATTAAACTAAATGGACCTAACAGACATTTACAGAACATTTCATCCCACTGCTGCAGAATGCACATCTTTATCAGCTCATGAAACATTCTCCATGATAGAACATATATTAGGACATAAAACAAATTTAAAGAAATTTTTAAAAATCAAAATTATATGAAGTATCTTCTCAGACAACTGTAAAATTAAAAAGGAATTAATACCAAGAGGTACATGGGAAAGAGTACAATTACATGGAAATTAAATGTCATGCTAAATTAACACCTGGATGACCATTGGGTCAAGGAAGTAATTAAGGAAGAAATTAAAATTAAAAAGTCTTGAAACAAATGGAAACAGATATACAACATAACAAAACCTCTGGAATATAGAAAAAGCAGTGCTATGAAGAAACTTTATAGCAATAAATGCCTACATCAAAGTAGTAGAAAGATTTAAAATAAAAAAAAATTAATGATGCACCTCAAGGAACTAGAATAAACTGAACTCCAACTTAGTAGAAGAAAATAAATAATAAGTACTGAAGCAGAACTAAACAAAATAAAAACAAAAAAAAAAGGCTCAACAAAATGAAAACTTGGTTTATTGAAAAGATAAACAAAATCAATAATAAATAGCTGGCTAGATAAACCAAAAGAAAACAGAGAGCTCAAACTCAGTCTGAAGTGAATAAGGAGACATGACAACTCACGCCACAGAATGGGCTGGCAAAGTTGTGTGGATGGATGGTTAGGGATAAGGAACGTTTGGTTAATGGGTACAAGCATACAGTTAGATAGAAGAAATAAGTTCTAATGCTTGATAGCAGAATAGACTAACTATACTTAACAACAATGTATTGCATATTTCAAAATAGAAGAGAGAACTTGAAATGTTCCCAACACATAGAAGTGATAAATACTGGAGGTGATAGATACCCCAAGTACTCTGACTTGATCCTTATACAGTCTATGCATGTAATAAAATATCACATATTCCAATCAATAGGTAAAAAACATTTGTCAATAAAAAAATAGAGCTATGGAAGAAGAGGCAGATCAAGACAGCTGAATAGAAGCCTCCAGTAATTATCCCCCCTCAAGAAGAACACCAAATCGAACAACAATCCACACACAAAAAAGTGAATGATTAGAAGGGAGTGATCACAGTACTTGGTTTTAACATCACAGTACTTGGTTTTAACATCATGTTTAGGAAAGAGGCACTAAGCAGGGTGAGAAACACAGTCTTGAATTGCTTAAATCACCCCTCATCCATCCCTTGGCAGCCGTCACATGGTGTATAGAGAGAATCTGTGTGCTTGTGCTTGGGAGAGGGAGAATGCAGTGATTGTGGCACTTTGCATTGGAACTCAGTTCTGCTGTGTCACAGCAGAAAGCAAACAAGGCAGAACTCAAGTGACACCCATGGAAGGAGCATTTAGACCAGCCTAGCCAGAGGCAAATTGTCCATCCCAGTAGGTGGAGTCTGATTTCCAATAAGCCCCATGACTGTGTGCTAAATGCTGTGAGTTTTTAAATAAACTTGAAAAGCAGTCTACACCACAAGGACTGCAATTCCTGGGCAAGCCCAGGTGCTGTGCTGAGCTCAAAGCTGGTACATGAAACCTAGTGAGACACCAGGTGATGCAGCCAAAGGAGGGCTTGCATCAATCCTACACCAGCCTCAGGCAGCACAGCTTGCAGCTGTGGAAGGCACTCCTTCCTTCCACTGTGGAGAAAAGAAGGGAAAATAAAGAGGGATTTGTCTTGAAACTTTGATACCAGCTCAGCCACAGTAGAATAGAGTACTGGCAGAGTCCTGTAGCCTCCATTACAGGCCATAGCTCATGGATGGCATTTCTAGACACATCTGGGCCAGAAGGAAGCCTGCTGCCTTGAAGGGAAGGACAATATTCTGGTAGGATTTATCACCTTCTGACTAAAGAGCCTTTGGCCCCTAAATAATCATCAGCAGTAGCCAGGTAGTAATGACCATGAGCTTTGGGTGAAACTCAGAGCTGTGCTGGCTTCAGGTGTGACCCATCACACTACCAGCTATAGTGGCTATGGGGAGAGTCTCCTGCTTGAGAATCAGAGAGAGAGGAGTAAAGAGACTTTGCTTTGTAGCTTAGGCACTAGCTTGGCCACAGTGTAGTAAAGTACCAATGGGGCTCCTATGGTCCCCAATTGCAGAGCTTGGCTTTTGTATGACATTTCTGGACCTGCCCTTAGCCAGAGGGGTCCCACTGTCTTGAATGAAGAGAATCAGGCCTGACAACATTCACCACAAGCTGATGGTAGAGTTCCTGGGCCTTGAGTGAACAATGCAGGTAGCCAGGCAGTATTCACTATGGACTAGGGTGGTGGTTGCCATGGAGAGAGACACCTCTACTTTAGGAAAGGGAAGGGAAGAGTGGGAAAGACATTGCCTTGTGCTTCAGTTTCAGCTCAGCTGCAGTAGAACAGAGCACCAGGTACATTCCTAAGGCTCCTGACTCCAGGTCCTGACTCCTGGACAACACCTCTGAACCTGCACAGGGCCAAAGAGAATTCATCATCTTGAATGGAAGGACACAAATCTGGCTGTATTTATCTCCTGCTGATAATAGAGCCTTGGGTCTTGAGTGAACATAGGTGATAGCCAGGGAGTGTACACTGTGGACTTTGGGCAAGACAGGTGCTGTGCTAGTTTCAGGTCTGACCTATCACAGCACCAGTGACGGTGGCCACAGAGATGCTTGTTTCACCTCTCACCCAGCTCCGGGTAGCTCAGTACATATAGAGAAAGACTCCATTGGTTTGGGAGAAAGTAGGGAAAAAGAACAAGAGTCTCTGCCTTGTAACATGGAATTTTCCTGGATCTTCCTTAGAACACCAAGGCATTATGTCTATGAGTCTGCCAGAGCTACATTACTGGGCTTGGGGTCCCTTCTAATGCACATATAGATGCAGTTACCAAAGACTTAGATCACAACACCTAAGTCCTTGCAAATACTTGGAAAGCATTCCCAAGAAGTACAAATACAAATTAGCCCAGACTACAAAGACTACAATAAATACCTAACTCTTCAATGCCACAACATTGATGAACATCCACAAGCATCAATACCATTCAGTAAAACGTGACCTCACCAAACAAACTACACCAAGCACCAGTGACAGAGATAGGACCTTTCAGACAGAGACTTTAAAATAGCTGTTTTGAAGAAGCTCAATGAAATTCAAGATTATACATACAAGGAATCCAGAATTCTATCAGAAAAATTTAATGAAGAGATTGAAATAATTTTGAGAAATGAAACAAAACTTCTGGAGCTGAAAAATTAAATTGACATACCCAAGAATGCATCAGAGTCTCTTAACAGCAGAACTGATTAAGCAGAAAAAAGAATTAGTGAGCTTGAAGACAAGCTATTTGAAAATGCACAGTAGACGAAAACAGAAGAAAAATATAAAAAAGACAGAAGGATGCCTACAAGGTCTAGAAAATAAAATCGAAAAGAGCAAATCTGAGAGTTATTGGTCAAAGGAGAGATAGAGAGAGATCAGGGTAGAAAGTTTATTCAAAAGGATAATAACATAACTTTCTAAATCTAGAGAAAGAAATATCAATACACAATTAAAAGAAGGTTATAGAACACCAAGCAGATTTAATCCAAATAAGAGCACCTCTAGATATTTAATAATAGAACTCCAATAGGTCAAGGATAAAGAAAAGATTCTAAAAGCAGCAAGAAAAAGAAAACAAATAACATACAAAGGAGTTCCAATATGTCTAGCAGCAGACTTTTCAGTGGAAACTTTACAGGTCAGGATAGAGTAGCATGACGTATTTAAACTGCTGAAATTAAAAAAAAAAAAAAAAAAACCTTTATACTAGGAAATTACATTCAGTGAAACTATCCTCAAACATAAAGGAAAAATAAAGACTTTCCCAGACAAATAAAAATTGAAGGCATTCATCAACACCAGACTTGTCCAAAAAGAAATGCTAAAGAAACCTCTTCAATCTTTAAGAAAATGAAAATAATCAGTAATAAGAAATAATCTGAAGGTATAAAACTCAACTGGTAATACTAAATACACAAACAGGATATTACCGTACTGTATTTGTAGTGTGTAAACTATGCACATCTTGAGTAGGAAGGCTAAAACATGAAACTAGCAAAAATAATAAAAACAAAACTTTTCAAGAAGTAGTATAATAAAAATAGTTAGAAACAACAAAAAGTTAAAAAGTGAAAGATGAAGTTAAAGTGTAAAGCTTTCATTGCATTTCTTTTGGCTTGTTTGTTATGTTGTTTGATTGTTTATGCAATCACTGTAAACTTGTCAGTTTAAAATAATGGGCTTTAAGCTATTATTTGCAAGCCTCACGGCAATTCCAAATGAAAGCACATACAACAAATACATAAAAAATAAAAAGAAAGAAATTAAAGAAATTAAAATATACCACCTGAGATAATTCTCTTTCCTAAAAGGAAGACAGGAAGAAAGAAAAGAAGAGAGAGAACACCACAAAACAACTAGAAAATGAATAACAAAATGACAGAATTAAGTCCTTACTTATCAATAATAACATGTAAATGGATTAAACTCTCCAATCAAGACATAGAGTGGCTTAATGAAAAAAAGAAAATCCAATGATCTGTTGCCTACAAGATACACTTTATCTATAAAGACACATGTAGACTGAAAATAAAGGGATGGAAAAAGATATTCTACTGAAACGGAAACCAAAAAAGAGAAGGAGCAGATACATCAGACAACATATATTTCAAGACAAAACTCTAAATAGAGACAAAGAAGGTCATTACATAATGATAAATGAGTGAATTAAGTAACAGGACATAACAATTGTAAATATATATGCACCCAACACTGGATCACCCAGATATATAAAGCAAATATCATTAGAGCTACGGAGAGAAATAGATCTCAATACAATAATAGCTGGAAACGTCAACACTCAACTCTCAGCATTGAATAGATCATCCGGACAGAAAATCAACATAGAAACATCTGATGGAACTATTAGATATTAACAGAACATTTCATCCAACAGCTTTGGAATACAGATTCTTTTCTTCATCACAAAGATCATTCTCAAGGATAGACCATATGTTAGGCCACAAAACAAGTCTTAGAAAATTCAAAAAAAATGAAATAATATCAAATATCTTCTTAGAAAATAATGAAATAAAAGTAGAAACCATAACAAGATATTGACTTAGGAAACTATACAAAACATGGAAATTAAACAATATGCTCTTGAATGACCAGTGGGTCAATGCAGAAATTAAGAAAAAAAGTTATGAATTTATTGAAACAACTGATAATGGAATCACAATGTACTTAAACCTATGAGATACAATGAAAGCAGTACTAAGAGGGAAGTTTGTGTCAATAAGCACCCACATCAAAAAAGTAGAAACACTTCAAATAAATAATCTAATAATGTGTCTTAAAGATCTAAAAAAGCAAGAGCAAATCAAATTCAAAATAAATAGAAGAAACAAAATAATAACGACAGGAGCAGAAATAAATGAAATGGAAAGGAATAAAAATACAAAAGATCAATGAAAAATTGTTTCTTTGAAAGATAAGCAAAATTAATGAAACTTTACCCAGATGATATGATTTGGCTCTGTGTCCCCACCCAAATCTCATGTTGAATTGTAATTCCCAATGTTGGAGAAGGAACCTGATGGGAGGTGATTGGAACATGAGGGCAGATTTTCCCCTTGCTGTTGTTGTGATGGTGAGTGAGTTCTCATGAGATGTGATATTTTAACAGTGTGTGGCATGTCCTCCTTTGCTCTCTCTCTTGCCTCCATGTGAAAATACACTTGCTTCCCCTTTACCCTTCTGCAATAATTGTATGTTTCCTGAGGCCTCCCAGCCATGCTTCCTGTACAGCCTGAAGAACTGTGAATCAATTAAACCTCTTTTCTTCATAAATTAACTAGTCTCAGGTAGTTCTTTATAGCAGTGTGAAAATGAACTAACACATCAAACTAAGAAAAAAAAAGAGAAGACCCAAATAATATCAGAGATAAAATGCAGATATTAAAACTGCAGATACTGCAGAAATTCAAGGATCATTAGAGGCTACTATGAACAACTATATGCCAATAAATTGGAATACCTAAAAGAAATGGATAAATTACTAGACACATACAACCTACCAAGATTGAACCATGAAGAAATTCAAAACGTGAATGGACCAATAACAAGTAATGAGATTGAAGTTGTAATAAAAAGCCTCTTAGCAAAGGAAAGCCTAGGACCTAATACCTTTACTCCTGAATTTTAGCAAACATTTAAAGAACTAACACCAATTCTAGTCAAACTACTCCACAAAATAAAGGAGGAAATAATACTTTGAACACATTCTACAAGGCCAGTATTACCCTGGTACCAAAGTCGAAGATGCAGCAAAAAGAAAAAAAAAAGAAATGAAATTACAGCCTAATATGCCTGTTTAACATTGATGCAAAAATCCTCAATGAAATACTAGCAAACTGAATTTAACAACACATTAAAAAGATCATTCATTATGACCATATAGGGTTTATCCCAGTGATGCAATGATGGTTCAACATACACAAATCAATGAATGTAATACACCATATCAAGAACATAAAGGACAAAAGCCATTTGATCATTTCAATTGATGCTTAGAAAGCATTTGATGAAATTCAGTATCCCTTCATGACAAAAACCTTCAAAAACTAGGAATAGAAGGAACATACCTCAATACAATAAAAGCCATATATGAGAGACACACATCTGGTATCATACTGAATGGGGAGAAACTGAACCCTTTTCCTCTAAGATATGGAACAAGACAAAATATCTACTTTCACCACTCTTATTCAACATAGGACTGGAAGTTCTAGCTAGACAATTAGACAAGAGGATGAAATAAAGCATATACAAACTGGGAAGGAAGAAGTCAAGTTATCCTTGTTTGCAGATAATATGATCTTATATTTAGAAAAACCTAAATAATCCACAAAAAAACTATTGTTAATGATAAACAAACTCAGTGAGTGTCAGGATAGAAAATCTACATACAAAAGTCAGTAGCATTTCTATATGCCAGTGGTGAACAAGAAATCAAGAAAGTAATTCCATTTACAATAGCTACAAATAAAACAAACTACCTAGGAATAAACCTAAGCAAAGAAGTAAAAATCTCAAGAATATAAACTATAATACACTGATGGATGAAATTGAAGAGGACAGGCAAAAATGGAAAGATATTCTGTGTTCATTGATTGGAAGAATCAATATTTTTAAGATGTTCATACTACCCAAAGCAGTCTACAGATTCAATGCAATCCCTGTCAAAAACCAGTAATAATCTTCATAGAAATAAAAAAACCCATAAAATTTATATGGAATAACAAAAGATCCAGCATAGCAAAATCTATTCAGATCAAAAAGAACAAAATTTAAAAAATTACATTATTTGATTTCAGATTATACTACAGAACTATAATAAGCAAAATGGTATGACATTATTATAAAAACAGATACACAGACCAATGGAACAAAATACTACCATGAATTCATTTTCAATGAAGTTGCCAAGGGGATGCATTGGGGAAAGGATATATTCTTTAATAAATGGTGCTGAGAAAACTGGATATCCATATACAGAAGAATGAAACTTGACTCCTATCTCTCACCATATGTAAAAATAAAACCAAAATCAATTAGAGACTTAAATCTAAGATCTCAAGCTATGAAACTAACAAAAGAAGACATTCAGAAAACTCTCTAGGCCATTGGTCTGGGCAAAGGTTTCTTGAGTAGTACCTAACAAGCACGGGCAACCAGAGAAAAAATGGACAACTAACATCACATCAGATTAAAAAGCTTCTGCACAGCAAAAGATACAATCAACAAAGTGAAGAGACAATCCATTGGATGGGAAAAATGTTCACAAACTACTCATCTGACAAGGGATTAATAACCAGATTGTATAAAGAGGTAAAACAAGTCAATAGCAAAAGAAATCGAATAATATAATTTTTAAAATGGGCCAAAGATCTGCATAGACATTTCTCAGAAGAACACATATAAATGGCAAATGGGTATATGAAAACATGCTCAACATCCTTGATCATCAGAGAAATGCAAATGAAAACTACAATGAGATATCATCTTACTCCAGTTAAAATGGCTTATATCCAAAAGACACACAATAAAAATGCTGGCCAGGAGGTGGAGAAAAGGAACCCGTGTACACCGTTGGTGGGAATGTAAATTAGTAAAACCACTATGAAGGACATTCTGGAGATTCCTCAAAAAGCTAAAATTAGAACTAGCATATGATCTAGCAATCCTATTGCTAGGTATATACTTAAAT
This sequence comes from Homo sapiens, assembly GCF_000001405.40. NCBI lineage: Eukaryota > Metazoa > Chordata > Mammalia > Primates > Hominidae > Homo > Homo sapiens. Next base: position 162,514,169 of record NC_000005.10, on the reverse strand, counting down.
GACAGAAAATCAGTATATTGAAGAGATAGCTTCATTTTCATGTTTATGGCAGCATTATTCACAATAGCCAATATTTTAAAGCAACCTAAGTGTTCATCAACAAATGAATGGATAGAGAAAAATGTGGCACAAATGCGTAATGTAACACTATTCAGCCATACAAAAGAATAAGATTTCATCATTTGCAGGATCATGAATGAAACTGGAGAACATTGTGTTAAGTGAAATAAGACAGGCACAGAAAGATAAACTTTATATGTTGTCACTTATTTGTGGGAGCTAAAATTACAACTGATCTCATGTAAGTAGAGAGTAGAATGATAGTTATCAGAGGCTGGGAAGGGTAGTGGGGCAGTGGGGAATGTGGATGGTTAATGGATACAAAATATAATTCAATAGAATGAATAAGATCTAGTACCTGTTAGCACAATAGGGTGACTACAGACAACAATAATTTACTGTACATTTAGAACTAACTAAAGGAGAACCATTGAATTGTACTTTTCTTTGCAACACAAAAAAAGAATAAATGCTTGAGGTGATGAATATCCCATTTACCCTTATATGATCACTACACATTGCATGCCTGTATCAAAATATCTCAGGAACCCTATAAAAATATATATACCTACTATGTACTCACAAAAATTTAAAAAATAGAGCACGGAGTATAAATTAAAATGTACATTTTTCTGACATTTCAAGTTATATTTCTATTTGGTAGTAGCATGCATTTGGTTATTTTTGTCTTTGTTGCAGTTACATATATTATTAACTTAGGTAGTGAGTCAGCAAGTCAGGAATGTGTCTCTTGCCCTGGAGATAAGTAAAGGAAGAAAGAGAGAGAGCAAGATAGGGAGTGGAGGGAAGAAAAAGAGAGAAAGAGACAGGAAAAGAAGGAGGAGGAGGAAAAAAGAGGAGGAGGAGGAAAAGAAGGGAAGAAAAAGGAAATAAAAAGTGAAAGCACAGAATAACACATAAATCGAAAGAGAAAAAAGAAAGAAAGTGTGAGAGGAAGAGAGAAAGAGAGGAAGGGAGGAAGGAAAGAAGGAAGGAAGGGGAAAGACTAGAAAGAAAGAGAAAGAAAGGAAGACAGAAAGAAAGAAAAACAAAAGAAAGGAAGGAAAAAAGGAAGAGAGGGAGGGAAGGAAGGAAGCGAGGGAGTGGAAGAATAGAAAGAAAGAGAAAGAAAGAGAAAGAGAGAAAGAAAAAGAGAGAAAAAAGGAAAGAAAGGAAAGAAAGAAAGAGGGAAGGAAGGTAGGTGGGAAGGAGTTTCTTTCATTCGGGAACCCATAGCCTAGAGGACATGCTTAAAAAATTTTATCTTTATAATAATTTAAAATTCATTACAAGTCTTAGAGACATCTTGGATTAGGAGGGCAACCGTCAGTGCTCACTATTTGTGTCTTAAAATTTAATGTGCATACAAATCATTCAGATTCTTATTTGTTGGGTCAAGTTGGGGCCCAGATAATGCATTTTTAAAGTTAATACACCTTAGAAAATGCATTATCTGAGACGATATTGATACTCTGAAACCACATGTGGAGTGGCAGGACGTATGGCCCCAGCCTTACGACCAATGAAGGGTTTTGAGGCAGTTTAATTCCTTACAAAGACCTGTAAATATGCTTATAGTTAACAGTTCTTAAACATGGCTGCCCATTGGAATTTCCCAGGGAACCTGAAAAAATTATTGATACCTGTATCTTCTCCTGACCCCAGAATTTCTATAATTGTTCTGGAGTGTGACCTGGGCATTAGAGCGATTAAAAGAACCCCAAGTTTACTGAATTTCTACTGCCGTTGTGAGAAATTTACCACAAGTTTTGTGGTTTTTAAGAACACAAATTTATTACTGTACAGTTCTGTAGATCATAAGTCTAATGGGGATCTCAATGAGCTAAGATAAAGGTGTCAGAAGGGTGCATCTAGAAGTAAGTTCATCTTCCCGTCATTTCTAGTTTTTAGAGGATGCTTGCCTTCCTTGGTTCAAGGCCCACTTACCCAAACTTCAAAGCCAGCAAAATTAGGTCAAGTTTACCACAAGCTGCTGTCCCTCTGGTTCTCTTTTCATAATTACTCTTCCACTTTTAAGGGCTCTTATGATTATATTGTGCCCACGCAGATAGTCCAGAGTAATCTCCCTGTTTAATCACCTGATGATTAACCTTAATTTCATCTGCAAACTTAATTTCTCTTTAACAGAAAATAACATTTTCACGGATTTTGGAGAGTAGAATGTAGACATCTTTGAGGACCATTCTTCTGCCTACCATGCCATGTAACTCTGATTTGTAGCCACGGATGGAAGACAATATAAAGCATTACTTATTGCCACTTAAATTGGACTCAGACAAATAAAATAAAAATGATCTGGTGACATCAGGAGAAAGACATAACTTTTATACGCTTTATAAATTGCTCATTAGTAATATATGTGTACTTCCTCTTGCATGAGGAAATAAAATCTTCTCTTTAACTTCATCTCCTCTTTAATATGTTGTCAATAGTTTCCTGTTAGATATATAGGATATAATATTAACTGAGGAAAAATAGTCCGTTGAGAAGAAAATTGGTGGTGATGGGAGAAACTTTAAATACCAATTTTGGTATTCCAGAATTGTGCACACAATGTGAATTGAACCTTTCCATTTTATTGCTTGAGTCGGTGATCATCACCCTTTTCTATGCCTCTGACCACTGTCTCATTTGAGGCATCTGATAAATTTCTTAAATGCCAGCACCTGGGCACAGGAAACCTCACTGAGATGCCTAAGCTTTAAAGTGACAATCCAAAGGTAAAGGTGATACCAAAAAGGTGATGAATCCACTTATTAGGAATGCAGACCCATTATAATTATATTATGATGCAAATATAGTTGCTCTGAGTAGTCTTATCCTTCAAAATTCAAAACAGCACAGTATGACAGTTAAACATTATAGGAGAGAGGAATAACTACACTATAATGAAAGCAATCAATGATTAGAATCTGCATATTTGCATGCAAAATGAGTGAATACAAATGTACAGTAGGAAAAGAGGGAGAAAATATTTCAAAATTCCAAATACAGGGAACAAAAATTATTTATATAAAAACAGTAAAAACTGTGATATCTCATAATTAGCTTATAAATTTTTTCTTTCTGATTCTCATTTTATATTCAAATACAACTTTCTGGAAGCCCAAACAATGAATCCATAGATAATTGCTATGCCAGATGTGAACATACAAGACTAATACAGAAAACACCCAAGGAAAACAGATTTTTAAAATAACGTCTACTTTAGAAATTACTTTGTTCATGAATCCTTTCCTAACCCTCCAAGTCTGTGTTAATTGATCCTCATATATAAATCTGTCAGTCTGTTTTTTTTTTTTTTTCTTTTTGAGACGGAGGAGTCTCGCTCTTTCGCCCAGGCTGGAGTGCAGTGGCGCTATCTCGGCTCCCTGCAAGCTCCGCCTCCCGGGTTCACGCCATTCTCCTGCCTCAGCCTCCCGAGTAGCTGGGACTACAGGTGCGTGCCACCGCGCCCGGCTAATTTTTTGTATTTTTAGTAGAGATGGTGTTTCACTGTATTAGCCAGGATGGTCTTGATCTCCTGACCTCGTGATCCGCCCGCCTCGGCCTCCCAAAGTGCTGGGATTACAGGAGTGAGCCACCGCGCCTGGCCTCTGTCAGTCTTTATTACCCCGTCAAAGCCTTTATCATGCTAATCTGTAATCATCTTTTTATTAATCTGCATCTTCACCAAATGTTGGAACCTGTGAGCATAGAAATCTCATGGTCTTCTTCACTAATATATCCGTTGTGTTTGGCATATAGACAGGAGTCCGTTAAATATGAATGAGCAAATAAATAGATTTCTATTCCAAAGCTACTTGACTAAAGTTATAAATGAAATAAAACACAATCTCCAGGCTTCTTTTGACAATGCTAACAACAAATTATATACATATATATGTTAATTGAAAATATTGTTAATTTTCAATTTGTTAATTGAAAATATCTTCAAGGGCTTATTCTGGTGGCTGGAAATAGAAACACCAGCAAGGTCAGATTCCCACTCTTCAGGAGCTCACAGTTTCAGCCAAGATACATAAACAGGAAGATACATAAACAATATGCTCTTGGAAGTATGATAGAGATGAGCACAACATGTTCTGATTGGAAAAAAGGAAAGCTCTCAACATATTTTAAGCAGTAAAAAAGTGTTTCAAGACAGACCTCCCGGAAAAGGTGACTTTAAAAATGAATCATAGGCCGGGCTCACGCCTGTAATCCCAGCACTTTGGGAGGCCGAGGTGGGAGGATCACAAGGTCAAAAGATCTAGACCATCCTGGCCAACATGGTGAAACCCCATCTCTACTAAAAATACAAAAATTAGCTGAGCATGGTGGCACACGTCTGTAGTCCCAGCTACTCGGGAGGCTGAGGCAGGAGAATCACTTGAACCCAGAAGGTAGAGGTTGCAGTGAGCCAAGATCATGTGAGCCAAGACTCTGTCTCAAAAAAAAAAAAAAAAAAGATGGATATAGGAACCTTGTGTCTGGCAACCCATGGAATAAAAATAAAAGTAGGAGTTAGCCATGTGGTGGATTGAAGAAGTATATTGCAGACAAAGGAAGCAGAAGGAAAGTACACAACTATCTGGAAGAGGGAGAAGAACAGATACAGTGAGAAGTACAAATAGGAGGTGGGATAAAGAGCAGCTGCCCTGAATGTTGCTGAGTTTAACTGAGCTGTCTGTCCCAGCAAAATGTCAAACCAAGCACCAATTTTAGTGTCAGAAATTAATTATACAGTACCCATGTCTATTCTGGTTATATAGTATCCATTATAATGTAGTTATTCCTCTCTCTTATCATATGTAACAATCATACCATACCATTTTGAATACTCAAGACTATTCAGAACAACTATTTGAACCAGAATAGGGCTTATATTTTAAATTTCACTGAGGTGAAATATTAAAACAGTTTCAATGTTTCTCTCAAAGTGTGTGTTCCCAGAGCAACACAACAGCATTCCCTTGGAACTTGTTAGAAATGAAATTCCTTGTGACCTATCGGAGACCTACTAAATAAAAAAACTCTGGGGTGAAGCCCATCAATCTTGTTTTTTTTGTGACACGTCCTCTAGGTGATTTTCGTGTACACTCAAGTTTTAGAGCTACTGTAGCAAATGAACACAAGAATAGCTTTGTAGGAAAACTTGCTCATTTGTTGTTATTGATGCTGTTGTTATCGGTGGTAGTAGTGGTGGAATAGATTGTAGGTACAATGTTATGAAAAGGCTCTGTTTTAGTGAATATATATATTAGAAATAGGATTGCTCTCTCATCCAGGCTGAAATGCAGTGGTGCTATCATAGCACATCACAGCCTCAAACTCCTAGGCTCAAGCCCTACTCCCACATCAGCCTCCCAAGTAGCTGGGATTACAGGCATAAGCCACCATGCCTGGCACCTATAGAATACTGAAGATACAAACTTGAAAGTGTATGGATTCTGAAATTATTGCATGGAGCAGAGCTGCTTGATAAAAAGACTTTAGGTTTCACATAGCTCTTTATCACTTGGTAAAATAACTCTTTTATTCTTGTTTATCTAGAATTGCTTTAATCTATAATGTGTGTTATTTTATCAAATGCCTTATTAGCATCTATCAAGATAGTGACATGTTTCCTCACATGGGTATGACATTAATAATCTCATAATGTTGCATTATCCTTACATGTTTGTAATGATTCACATATACCCTTGAAATGTATTAAAAATGAATAATTCAATTTTTCTTTTTGATATTCTACTGAGTTTTAAAAGTAAGTTCTCTGTGAATTTAGTATCCGTATTCAAACTAAGAATGGTCTGTTGTCTTATATGTGTTTGCAAGTGTATATGGCTGTGTGTATTTATGTGTGTACATGTGTGCTTAGGAAAACTTTATTAAATTAATTTTAAAACTTTCAATTTTATATTTTTTGCTTATTATTATTTATGCATTTATTTTTGTTGCAAAACCAATTGACCCAAATCTCAGTGTCTTAAAATATCAACAATCATTTATTATATCTCATGGTTTCTGTGGGTGAGTAGTTCTGAAACAGCTGTCTGGTTGGTTCTAACTAGGTTCCCCTCATGTGTTCCTCATTACACAGTGGCTAGAACTGGAAGAGTGAGGGGTTGTAGCAGATAGAGGCAAGCCGGTCATCTCCCACTCCTCATGGAGTTTCAGGCTCTCTCCACTGTTTTCTTTTTGTGGTTACTCAAAGTACCTGGATTTCCTACATGATGGTTCACACAGTTCCAAAGGATCCGGAGAAAGACCAGTTAGAAGGTGCATTGTGTTTTCTAACCTACCTTGGACGTCACGTCTTATCTGTCAAGTTATATTTTTTATATTAGGCTAAGTTCATAAAATACATGTAAATGTTTTCCATCATCTTATATTCTCTCTAGGACAATTAAAATGGTTTATTTAAAATAATTCTCCATAAAAATATTTTGAGCCAATTATTACTAGGGTTTTTAATGTTATCGGAATTTGATCAATAATAGATTAATATTTAGCACTTGGTTATCCTGCTTTGTGCAGTTGTCACACAGCTTAATGGATATTATTTACATCTCAGTAACACTGTAATCTTCTGATACTATATCTTTTATATTTCCCTCCTAGCGTAATTCCCAATGTACAGTTGTTGCCTTATAAATGTCTCAATGTAGACAAATAGCTTAATGTAATACAAAACTATATTTTATCAAATGAAAGGTAATACAGCATCATTAAATGAGAAAAAAAATTGTGCTCTGGATTTTGAAAATTGGTTCAGCTGTTACCTAGCTGGACTTACGTATATTTTAGGATGCATGATATTGAAGGTGAGGCTAAACCAACTCAAATGCACTTTAAATGAATGGAGAGGGGATCCATTGTCTTTACCAAGAGAAGAGCATAATGGTTTAAATATAGTTTAATGTTCCAAAGGGCATAAAAATTCAAATGATGATATATGTAATCCATTCCATCTCTTGTTTGTCTTCTTCTCATAAGCAGATGGTTTCTCCTCATGTCATTGAAAGATGGTTGGTCACTAGTAATTCCAGGGAATTTCCCATTTCTGGTTAACATTCAGAATAAAGAGGGAATTTATTTTCCCCAATCTAAATAAAAATTCTAAGATTCACTGTGATCAGACTGGCTTAAACCACACGCTACCTTTGAACTATACCTGGTATCCTGGGGAAAAGTCTAGGTGTAGGTCTAGGTGTAAAACTCTATGCAGACAACTGTACTGAGAATGGGGGATGGACATATCTCTAAAGGAAAAGCTCAGGAAAGCTAGCACTTTAAGAAAAGGATTGGTTGTAAAATAGTAATATGCACTCAAGTAGCAAGTTACATAGCTTCTCTATGTCTTAAGCTGTCTCATCTTTAAAATTGGAATAACATAATTCAAAGTGATTTTAAAGTATCTACCACAGTGACTAGAGTAACGCTCAGTTAGGATTACTTTCATCTCCTAGTCAAATGTTTGTGAAACAATTATAACAATCCTATTAATTGATTTAGCAAACAAAATTCAATCTAGTAGGATAATAATGAAGTAACACATATAATAATAATAATCATGCCTGACTATGTATGCTTTTTTATATATAAAATGTATACATTGGATAGGTTAAGCTATATAGAAGTAATAAATTCTAAAATTTTAGTGATATAATACAATAAAAATGTACTTTTTGCTAATATCAATCTGATGTAGGTCAAACAGTTCTCCACCAGATTGTAATTCAGAAACCCAAGCTATGTGTATCCTGTGGCTTTCAGTTCACCCTGACTTTATCCAAACAGCAGTAGCAGACATGACAGGGAAGGAGAACATAGCGAGAACGCGGGGATCAACCAGTATTGTCAGGACCATCTTTGGAATGTCATGAATCATTTATGCCCGCATTCTGTTTGCCAGGAACCAATCATATATGTCAACTTAATTGCAAATGGGGTTAGGAAATATAGTCTTCCTTATGTCCAAGAAGAGGAAATGGTGAGGTGAGTATCTACCCTGTCTTTGCTGTAGACCCCTACACATTCTGGTCACCACATATCTCCTTTTGCTTGGAGGAAACACTCACCTCTTTAGAAGGATGGCAGCCCCAAAAGTCCCATTCAGGCCCTGGAAAGTGTTGCTCATTGTTTTCTAGAAGGCCTGGATATAGAAGACTTGGGTCTGGCAACCCATGGAATAAAAATAAAAGTTAACTGCTCTCCACTCCCATACATTTTAATATGTAAAGGAGAGGCAGGGCTAAAATAACCAAAACAGACCTCCAGTCTTAAACAGAAAGAATGGAAGAAACAGTGTGGCGATTGGCCCAGGGGAATTTTGCATGGCCTTTCTCCAGCTCTAAGAGAATGGGAGGCAGAGGAATAGATGCCAAAGGCTGCTTAAGTCTCAAACGGGCACTGTTTTTTAAGTTGCAGGCATCATAGTTTTCTGGAAATACAGTTCCCACAACCACATGGTAGGCTTCTGATGTATTTAAATCTCTTTTGCTTTATGTGGTGATCCTAGAAATAATTTTTTATGTCCAATTGATGTCTGTGCTTTCTCATCCTCATGATTCTTTCTCTCTCAAATATCTCAAAGTCATTGGGGTTCAATAGAAAACGCAATCCTTCATCTGGTCTGTTCTCTGAGAAGTTTTTACTCAGTCTCCATCAGGTAAAGTCTTTTCAAATCCCATTCCTTATATTTGCAGTCTACAATTTCCAATCCTGAGAGACCCCGCATTTACGGATTCTCTGTTCATTTTCATCTATGTTTGCAAAGTGACTCATTCTTTCCTGACCTTTCCCACTTCTGAAAAGGCTTCCCAAACATAAACAATCACAACTAAACCAAAACAATCTAGTTCATGCATGGAAATTAAGATGCTGTTCTGCTAGCTTCATGGAAAGGGGCTAAAGTAGAACTTTCTATACTCAATCTTCTTATTTTTTTTTTTTTTTTGACAAAGTCTCGCTCTGTTGCCCAGGCTGGAGTGCAGTGGCGTGATCTCGGCTCACTGCAACCTCCACCTCCCGGGTTCAAGTGATGATCCTGCCTCAGCCTCCTGAATAGCTGGGATTACAGGTGCCCATCATCACACCCGGCTAATTTCTGTATTTTTAGTAGAGATGGGGTTTCACCATGTTGGCCGGGCTGGTCTCAAACTCCCAGCCCCAGGTAATCCGCCTGCCTCGGCCTCCCAAAGTGGTGGGATTACAGGCGTGAGCCACCGTGCCTGGGCCCTAGTCTCAATCCTCTTTCCTTAGAGATGTAGCTGGTGTAGTAAGTGCTGATTTGGGGCAAAACTTTTACCAAAGATTTGCCTCTGAATGCCATTGACATATTTCCAGCATCTGATATTGATTTTCTTAGTGTCTGCTGCCCAATTGATGAGCAAAAGTTATTTCACGCTTTTCTTAAAGCAATACCACATTTTTTGCGCCAATTTTCCTGTTAGTCAGAGTAGACAATCTAAGTCATAGATAAATTCTAAAGGCTCAATGGCCTTAGCAGAGGAGTTTATTTCTCACTCACATGGAAGTCTGAGACAGGTCAGGTGGCTGTCTTCCAAGAGTGATGTTAGAACCCAGGCTTCTTATATCTTATGTCTCTATCACGCTGAGGCTTCAAGGTTGGCCTAGGGTTATCTACCTGGCAGATTGGGCAGACAGGCTTAGGGAAGGAGAGGAGGTAAAAAATTAGACAAGTCATTCTATTGTTAGAGCTGGAAGCAGCGTATATCACTTCTGTGCCCATCTCTTGGCCTGAACCCAGCCATATCATCCAATTGCTAAAGGAATTTAGTCTTTCGAAAGTGTTTCCATGAAGACAAAAGTTCAGTGAGCATGTAGCCTGTGTTTTCAATATCGAGGATGATTATTCTCAAGAAATCAGTTCAATTAATTCCATGTAATGATAATGGCCTAAGTATGATTTCTGAAACAAGCAAATTGTGTGTTCTGAGTGTGGGTGTATGTACATGAATATGGACAGTCACACATTGGGTACATACGGAGGACATTGACATCTTCAGAATTTGCTGATCTTGCCACTGGCTTCCTCTGCAATGTTGTCATTCCAAGAAAAGAAAGCTCAATTCTAAAACGGACAAAGATGCTTTTCAAAGTTGTTCAACAGCCGCAGGCAAATGCCTTAAGCTGCTGCATTTCAGCCATCAAGGACCTTCCTTATGCTTTCTCTGCCTAAGATCCTCAAACAGAACTTCTCCCAGTGAGGTAACACTATCCTCACATGAAAAGATAAGGAGATGCAAGGAAAGAAAGCAGGTTAGGGATGGATCCCTGTAATGTCTTTCATGTTCCTGGAGAGCTTTCTGTCCTTTTTTCTATATATTCAAAAAGAATATTCTAGTCTAGGCTATAGGATTCCTTTATTTTATTATATGTATTTTTAATGACAGTGCTCTCCTTTTAATTTTTATTTTATTTATTTATTTTTGGAGTTTTCACTCATTTTCACACATCACTTCCCATGACATGTATATATGGGAGTCATCATTGATTTGTCTTTTATTTTTAAATGTATGTTTCTTTTAAAAATAAAGTGTATTCAGTCCAATCAACTGGATCCTGAAAAAAGTAAAAATAAAAATAAAGTGTAAAAGAAAAGCATCTGTGGTTTAAATGTCATCAATTAAGGAATGGTGAGAACACTCCTATTTTATAGAATGAGGTGTTGCCTGATTCTAGAATCAAAAATAAAGCCAATAACATCTTAAAAAAAATAAAAAAGAAATGGAGATTAAGTGCCTCTGTCACTTGGCTATTAGTCATAGATTTTCCCATGTTTAGCAAAAATTGGAATTTTTCTATTAATTAATTTACATTTAACCAAAATAATTATCTCCCTTGTATGTGTAGCAGTTGAAATTTCTATTTTAGCCCCTTTCTTTTTTTTTAAATTTTAGCCTCTTTCTATAAAACCAGCAGAACACCATCTTAATTTTCATGAATCCAGTTTCCACAACTTTGCCAAATAGATCAAACACGTTTACATTTTCATTAATAAAATAACCACATGTGTTGTTAAGAGTACTAGTGTGGGTGGCTCTGTCACCTTTATTTTCTTCTCTGCAACCCAAAGCTTCCTTTACTCTGAATCACCACCTTGATGCCCTTTCATCTCATGACAGTTGGATAGGTCACCTTATATCAGTTCTTACTTGATCTAATGGTTGATCTAATCTCGCTGTCTCTGGCAGCTTATTTTTTTTTTCTTTTCATTCATAAACTGGGGTAAATAACAGTATAACACCTGTCATGTAAGAATTGTTCAGTAGTATTAGCTGTCTTTATTCAAAACACGTTTTCTTTCTTGTCTAATGCAACATAATAACAAGTTTAATATAATAGTTATTTGAAAGAATTGGCTAGAGATTTATTTGTAAAGTGCTTACAACTTGCCAGCCACTATACCTGGAGCCATGGAGAGACATGACATAGTCCCAGTCTTTGTAAATCTCATAAGTTTAGTGGAGAAGATAGATGAGCAATCAGATCATTGTAATATGTTAATTAATGATGGAGAGGCAGAACAAAATATAACAATTCACTTTTTTTCAAATGAGTAGGAATGAAAAAACTTCAAAGATGAAGAAACAGTTGCGTGAAGAGTTGATGGATGAGTAGGGGCTTACTAGGTAGGGGAGGAAGGGTTATCTTAGGCAGAGAGAACAACTTGTACAAGTGATTATAGGATAAGTCATGCAATACAGCACTGCACATAGGCTATGTATGTGTACCTGAGAGTAGCAGGAAAAGAAGCCACTCATGCCACTTAAGATGCCAAAGGAGTAAATTTGAAAGACGTTAAGTATAAGAGTGATAACAGATTCGCTGATATTTACTGATAGGCTTTCGGGGAGAACTCTCCCTTATCTTTTTATTTAGGTGAGTAGAGAAAAATGGGGAACAACAAAATCAGAAAGCTAAACTTCAGTCCTCAGAAACAAGTTTTCAGAATGAAACTTGTATTGACAGATTTATTTCTGTAATAAATATTGTTGATAACACATTGTGTTTACTTAATACAGTGAAAAACAGGTATTATTCCTATGCTTGAATACTTATTGTCTGTCACAATCATTTCAATTTTACTATACACTGTCTTGTGATATGTTACTCTTTCTGCAAAATTTTTAAATTAAAATGTAATATAGTGTGTATACTTACATAAATTATATATGCATATAATTTGCATGTAAATATGTTTTATGTATTTGCATATATAAATATATTTATATCTATTTATCTAACTATATATTAAGCCCCTGAAAGCAATGATTATGAATAACATTCTTTTAATGGCACACTGTAAATACTCCACAACCCCATCGTCTCAGCCCAAAATCTCCTTAAGCTGATAAGCAACTTCAGCAAAGTCTCAGGATACAAAATCAATGTACAAAAATCACAAGCATTCCTATACACCAATAACAGATAAACAGAGAGCCAAATCATGAGTGAACTCCCATTCACAATTGCTTCAAAGAGAATAAAATACCTAGGAATCCAACTTACAAGGGATGTGAAGGACCTCTTCAAGGAGAACTACAAACCACTGCTCAATGAAATAAAAGAGGATACAAACAAATGGAAGAACATTCCATGCTCATGGGTAGGAAGAATCAATATCATGAAAATGGCCATACTGCCCAAGGTAATTTATAGTTTCAATGCCATCCCCATCAAGCTACCAATGACTTTCTTCACAGAATTGGAATAAACTACTTTAAAGTTCATATGGAACCAAAAAAGAGTCCGCATCGCCAAGTCAATCCTAAGCCAAAAGAACAAAGCTGGAGGTATCACGCTACCTGACCTCAAACTATACTACAAGGCTACAGTAACCAAAACAGCATGGTACTGGTACCAAAACAGAGATATAGATCAATGGAACAAAACAGAGCCCTCAGAAATAACGCTGCATATCTACAACTATCTGATCTTTGACAAACCTGAGAAAAACAAGCAATGGGGAAAGGATTCCCTATTTAATAAATGGTGCTGGGAAAACTGGCTAGCCATATGTAGAAAGCTGAAACTGGATCCCTTCCTTATACCTTATACAAAAATTAATTCAAGATGGATTAAAGACTTAAATGTTAGACCTAAAACCATAAAAACCCTAGAAGAAAACCTAGGCATTACACCATTCAGGACATAGGCATGGGCAAGGACTTCATGTCTAAAACACCAAAAGCAATGGCAACAAAAGACAAAATTGACAAATGGGATCTAATTAAACTAAAGAGCTTCTGCACAGCAAAAGAAACTACCATCGGAGTGAACAGGCAACCCACAAAATGGGAGAAAATTTTCGCAACCTACTCATCTGACAAAGGGCTAATATCCAGAATCTACAATGAACTCAAACAAATTTACAAGAAAAAAACAAACAACCCCATCAAAAAGTGGGCAAAGGACATGAACAGACACTTCTCAAAAGAAGACATTTATGCAACCAAAAAACACATGAAAAAATGCTTACCATCACTGGTCATCAGAGAAATGCAAATCAAAACCACAATGCGATACCATCTCACACCAGTTAGAATGGCAATCATTAAAAAGTCAGGAAACAACAGCTGCTGGAGAGGATGTGGAGAAATAGGAACACTTTTACACTGTTGGTGGGACTTTAAACTAGTTCAACCATTGTGGAAATCAGTGTGGCGATTACTCAGGGATCTAGCACTAGAAATACCATTTGACCCAGCCATCCCATTACTGGGTATATACCCAAAGGACTATAAATCATGCTGCTATAAAGACACATGCACACGTATGTTTATTGCGGCACTATTCACAATAGCAAAGACTTGGAACCAACCCAAATGTCCAACAATGATAGACTGGATTAAGAAAATGTGGCACATATACACCATGGAATACTATGCTGCCATAAAAATGATGAGTTCATGTCCTTTGTAGGGACATGGATGAAATTGGAAATCATCATTCTCAGTAAACTATCGCAAGAACAAAAAACCAAACACCACATCTTCTCACTCATAGGTGGGAATTGAACAACAAGAACACATGGACACAGGAAGGGGAACATCACACTCTGGGGACTGTTGTGGGGTGGGGGGAGGGGGGAGGGATAGCATTAGGAGATATACCTAATGCTAAATGACGAGTTAATGGGTGCAGCACACCAGCATGGCACATGTATACATATGTAACTAACCTGCACATTGTGCACATGTACCCTGAAACTTCAAGTATAATAATAAAATAAAATTAAATATATATATAAATGTATGAGTTGAAAGTAATTATATATTTAGCAGAAAAAGCTCCTCTCTCTCTCAGCCCTACCATGGTTTATTGCTTTATTCCTGTGTTCTTGCCAAAGATTTCTTGTATTATGTATTATACTTTCCATTATGATCACCTCACTGATACTAATTCTCATAATGTTGATCTTGGGGAAAGTTAGTAAACATAACAATAATAATGCCACCTTTTATCAAGTGCCAACAGGGTGTTGAATTTGGTTCTTTCCTGATATTTCACATAACAGTCTTATCAGGAATCATTGTTATCCTTTTATGGGTGACATCTTAAATCCAGAGAAGTGTGTAATTTACTCAAGACCACACAGCTAATGAGTTAAAGGAACTAGGATTTGAATCAATGGTCCTCGGACTTAAAAGCTTAATTAGTATTACTTTAGACTTTACAAAGCAGTTATGATTTCATTTTGACCCCACAACTTCCCAATGTGGTAAATATTCACCTGATTTTCACCTGGTAAAAGAAATTCAGAGAGGTGAATATTCACCTGAACTGAGACTCAGTGTGATAAATATTCACATGATTTTCACCTGATACAAGAACTGAGACTCAGAGAGATAACATGACTTCCCCATGAGTTAAGGTTGAAATATGGTATAGTTTGCATTCCATTCCAGGTTTTCTTTTTAATTAAAGTATGGTTGTACCACGAAGTTGAATTGGATGGGCTTTTTTACTACTGGGATGTTGTAGGCGGCTCTCAGTTTGATTTTGAGTAAATCAACTGGAGCACGGAGATTAAAGAAAAATAAAACAAAACAAAACAAAACATTAATAAGTTCTTCCCATCACAAAATTAAATATTTTTAATAAAAACTTTTTCGTTTTTAATAAACTCTTATTTCTCATTTAAACATCTATCCATTATGGCCAACCACACAGCCCCTTAATGAGAAGCAAATTAAGTTGTTTGAAAACACATTCAGTAAGCTGTGTTTTTCCATGGACCAGTGGCAGAGGGAAGAGAAAGTGATTGTGCCAGGCTGTTGGCTGACTAGAGCTAATGGCATTTGGTCTTGTGAAATGGATATTAATTATTCTACACTATTGAACTTGGTTTGCTCTTGATAGATTTTTCCCCTTCTGAATTAATGTCTGTCCTCTCTTGATTAATTTAGAGTGATTGTACTGCAAGTCACTTAATTACATATTCTTTCTAAAGTCAAAAATTATTCATCGTGATGAAGGCAGTCATTTTGATTTCTCATAAAAAGAGTTCCCAAGTGTCTCAAGTATAGATCTTGCAGAGTTAGTGGGAAAAGTTCTACTTTATCCAGGAAGGGCACCAAAGCTAGAGAAGCCTCCTCATAAATCTCATTTAGGATGTTTCCCTATAACTCGCCAGGCAGAGCTATTTGAGTTGCACATCATGATATCTGAAAAAAACAGAGACTTCACCTAGCTAAAGTATAAAACATAAAGAGAATATTCTGTAAGTTATTTGCTCCAGGACATGACAGTATAGGTGAATGAGTTTCAAAATATGTGAAAGTTTTTCCTGGGAGAGAAAATATTGTATTTTTTTTTCTCTCCCAGATATTGTAAAGAGAACACTTATTTAAAGTGAGAAAGCCTAGATTTTCTAAAACTAACTGAATTTGTAATCTAATCTCTTCTATGTGTAAAATAGGCATTATAATGTCTACCCTCCAGATTGAAAGTTGTTGCAAGAATCATGTAATCTTTGAAAGAGCATGCTATTTAGACATGCAGTATGATTGTCACTATTTTTCTGGGCAGAAATTTTTAAGAGATAATCTGTGAGTAGCCTTTGGTTTCTTCCAAAAACCAGTTTAGTTAGAGCAATTTAGGAGTTCATGGTCCTCCCTAGCTCTGTCATTCAACTGGTTGTGCATATTATCAGACAGTAAACAAGTGGTGCATCCTTTCAGATCTTAAGCTCATTGTCTATTAAGTAGACAGTATATTTTGCTTTTCAACTTATGTTTTCTTGAAAGCACATTTTATAGGATTTAAAAAAATAAATGCAGATATTCCAGGTACCTGGGAAAGAAGTGCTGCCCAATGATTTAGGGCTTCAAATTTGTAGTCGACCCAACTTAGAATCATATCTCAGTTCCTCTATTATTACATGTCCAAAGACATGTAATAATAGACAAATCACCTCAATTTGCTTGGACAAATCACCGCAACTTGCTAAGTTTCAGTTCCCTAATCTATAAAATATGTCTAGCAATGGCATCTAACTTATAGTGTTGTTAGGAGGATTTAATAAAACAATAAATGTAAAGAACCTAGCATAACACCTGCTTAATACTTTGCTCAGTAAATGATAGTTCCGTCTTCATATACTCCCAGCCAATTTATTTTTGTAGAGAATGACTTTTCAGATAATTTTAGTAAATGTAACCATCAGACATGTTTAAAAGCCAATTTAGCCTCTGTGCCCCTCAGCACTGATAAAAGGGTAGCTGAGGGCATTGGTCTTGCAATTTTAACTGCATGCAAAATGATCTCCCACTTTTTCATTTGTCATCTAATCCTCATATCGGATCATCACTATCTATATCCTCCTGGGAAAATAAAATTGTATTTGTTTTCCTTGGATGCCTGAGTATTTCTGGCATTGTACCTGGTACTTTGCATACTTTCTCTCATTTTATTTCTATAACCACCCTCTCAAAGCAAATACTCTCAAAATTTTTAAATGGAGAAAGTGAAGGTTAGAGAAATTAAGTAATTGTCCAAGGTCACACAGCTGGTAGGTGGCAGAGTTAGCATTTAAACCTGGGACTTTTGACTCAAGCATTGCACAATTCAACCTTGGGTTGTACAGCTGGAAACAGCCAATTTCTTAAAAATATGGGTTATTGAGAGATAACTGTCTTCGGAAGGATGTTTGCCCAAATAGTAACTGTGATTACATTTGGGAGGTAGGGTTTCAAACAAAATTTGATTTCTTCCTCGCACTGTTTAAGAATTTCGTTTTTATTTTTATTTTCCATTGAGTATGCATCACTTTTATAAATTAGCAGTTTTTAACTGACTATCTCACAATGAAATTTCACCTAATTTCAGGTGATCTACAGAAACAGAAAAAGCTATTCACTCAATAGAGGTCGGTTTTCTACCTTACTGACTATCAAGCTGGACACATAACTATTGTTCATGCAAATAAAGTTCTAGTTTTAGAAAGTGTGACTCATAAATTAATGTGACTTGTCTGTCCCAACAGTCTGAAAATAAGAACGACGGGACAATAGAAAGCCACAAAGCAAACACTTTTTTTGTCTTCAAACTTTGAAAGCTCTTTTGGCTGATATTAACAATAGTTTCATTTTTTTCTTTAAGTAGACAATGGTTGATTTGTAATTAACTTATACATCCAAGGATCTCCAGGCCCAAAGAATTGTTGGCTCTGTAACAACAGATGGCTAAAATCTGTGTTTCTTTTTAAATTTCTGACAGGAAAGTCTTTCTATGACGCATCTCCAATTCCTTCCTTCCAAGAAAATGCCCATTTCCAAATTTAGCCTACTGGGAAGCAATAAAAAGATAATGGAATTTAGAGTCAGTAGATCAGGGTATAAGTCTGGGCTTTGTCACCGGTTGGTTATAACTTTGGTCATATGTTATAATCTCTCTGAATACCACATGCTTCATCATTCATTTATTCATTTAACAAAAATTTATTGCATTTATATTATGGGCCAATTATTTTTCTATGTATTGGGAATACAATGGTGATAAAAAAATACATTTCATGTTCTCTTGCAGCTCCGTTCTAGTGGGATAGGCAAGGCTTAGTCAAATAGCCAAATGAGGAACATATATCTATGAAGTAATAAGTCCTCTTATGAAAGAATTCCTGTAATAGTATTTGCAGGCGGGGAGTAGTTTGGGAAGGAGTTCCCTGAGAAAGTGATGCTTAGCTGAGAATGGGAGAAAAAGAAAATCAAGTAGATAGAGGTAGTTGGTGGAATGATAGCGAAGAATATTAAGATATTACCCACAGAAATAAAAGGTTGTGCAAATTCCCTGTAGGAGCAGAGAGCATGATTGATTTAAAAAACTGAGTACAGCTGAGAGCTGAGAACAGGTAGGAGAGTGGTACAGGTAAGGAGGTGAAGAAGAGATAGTGGTACTCCTTAAATATTCATTTACTCACATACAAACTCCTCACCCCTTTCAGGCAGAGGAGCTCTGAGAATATCATCTTTGCCTGAGGCAATTAAAGGGCATGCACAATTAATTATCTAGTACCTCTTTTTCTCTTCTGGGGTCAATGAGAATACCTTGTATTGATATGGCAAAGTTTCCAAAATTAACTGATCCAGATGTAAGTCGCTATTTGGAGAAAAATTATTCAGAAGAGTTGAATGGACATGTGGCATTGTGTAACAAATAGATTAATAGATAAAATGCTATGTTAGGCCACTGGAATTTGGGGTTTGCTTATGATTGTAGCATAGCATAGCCTAACCCGACTATTAGAGATGGTGTCAGACTACACAGGGCCTTTTGGGCCAAATTAATAATTGGGATCATTTTTTAAGCATTGAACTATCTTTCAAAAAGTAGAGATTTTCAGATATTTTTCTTTGGGGGAAGAATCCTATGCTAAATATGTGAATGCTTGATGAGGTTAAGAGAGTTTTGATAACTATAAATTATTCATTATAGCTGCATTTACCATGCTCCCAAGAATATTGAAGAGACCAAGTATGAAAAATTAAGTCTGGCGTTTTCCAAAATGCAAACCATCACACAAATATTCTAGCTTTCTGATATGACTATATTGCCCTAGTTGCTATTTTTCCTTTGTCCTAGAAGCCAGTATCTTTATATATGTGCTGTTCTCTGTGCAGTTGTAATCCATATACCAAAAAGTAATTCTGTGAAATTGGTTAGTTTGTTCTGCCCTGCAGTCAATAGCAATTTTGTATCCACGGATCTGAGAGTGGAGCACTGCTTAATAGGAAAGTCTTCCAATGTTTCAGAATGAAGTTTTCAATCTGTACGTTTGTTGAGATGCCAATATATTCACCTTAACTCTATCAAAAATAAGACGTTCTTATTTCTTTGCCTTTTGCTAGTCATTGGAAGTTTGAATTGAAAAACAAAATTGAGACCAGGCTGAGAAATGTAGTAAAATATGAGAAAAAGAGCTTATTATATGCAATCTATTGTTTTGAATAAATTTCTACAGAGCAAAAAATGGAGCATTTTGATTCTGTGCTCTGGGAAGTTAACACAAACAGTGGGACATTTATACAGTGATATACAAAAATATACTTTGTTTTAGGTGCTCTGGGGGAATATGCTGAACAAAACCAGACTCAGCTTCTATCCTCCCTCCCTCCATTTACAGTGTAGTGAAGAGAATACACAATTCTCCTTATTGCATTTGATCAAATTTGCTTCTACCAAAGAGAGAAAGGTAACCTATCTTTTCATTGAGCAGCTAGTAGATGGCACAGATTTTGTTACTAGATTATTTTCATGCATTATATAATTTAATTTTTAATACTTTCAATTTATTTTTTATAATAATAATAGGGACAGGAGGCAGAGAAATTCTAGGCAGGAAAATGCGGGTCCCTGGCAAAGTCCCACCCTCAAGCCAAAAAGCCTGAGACTGTGGCCCAAAGTGAGAACTTCCATCCCTGTTTTCCTGCTTAAATGTTGCCTTTTCCAAATGCACCCATGACCCTGCCCTGTCCCCCATCCTGTGCCGATAAAAACCCCAGACTCAGCCAGCAGCAAGGAGAAGCACCTGGATATCAGAGACTACAGCTGGATGTCAGAGAGAAGCAGCTTGAAGTCAGAAGGACAGCCTGACGGCATAACTTTGGAGAAGAATCTGGCTGGAGATGGCTGAACTTCAGGGGAAGATTACCTTCCCACCCATCCCTTTTTCAGCTTCCCTTCCTGCTGAGAGCCATTTTCATCAGCAATAAAATCCCCTGCATGTACCATTCTTCAGTTCGTTTGCACAACTCATTTCTCTTGGATGCTTGACAAGAGCTCAGGAGCCATGACTGAGGATAGGAAAGGCTGACATACTGACACTTTGCCTTTGCTGGTAGAAGGCAGAGGGCCCATTGATCTGTTAACACTTAAGGCATTCGTGGACAGCAGAGCTAAAGGAGCACTGTAATACTCCCCACTGAGGCTTCAGGGATTTTGGGCATCCTCCCTAGACACTGCCACAGGGCCCACACAGAGTTTGCTCCTTCCAGGGCCAAGAAGCACCCCCCCCAGCTCCTGTACCCACTCACCTGTGTGCTTCCTTCTGTGACGGGTGGAACACAGTGGGTTTGAGTGAGTGGAGTTCACCTCTGCTGGCACTGGAGTGGCTGGCTGGTTCTAGCACTCCTGCACTCCAGTTCCCACCTTGTTTTTTCTCATGCTCCCTCCCATGAGGTGTTGAGAGCTACAGGCTGAGTAAATGAGGCACCCTTATTGCAAATCCCATGAAGGGGTCAGGTAAATATCTTTCTTCAATAATACATCTAGTTCCCTATGTGCTAGACATTGCGCTAAGAGTTTTATGTACAGTATTTTAGTAATGTACATAAAAGGGGTTTACCACATTCTACAGAATAGGAAATTAAGGATCAGAGAGGTGCATTGATGTCCCCAAGATAATATTTCACATGGTATGTGATATGAATCCCATTCCCATGCTATTTCTCCTGTTACTATGTGTAGCATACTTCTAGGATTATCTCTTCCAAAATAAGATGACTAAATAATATGACATAGATGTATGCCTAAAAACACATTCAGCAGGACCCTAATGGCACAATGTTATTGGTGCTTTGGAAAATACATTTTTCTCAGCCAAATAAGTTTAGGTGCAAGGTAGAAAGTCACAAATATCTCTTTACCATTACACTTCCCAGAGCCTATCATATGTTGATCTGTTATGCAGATTTCCAAGAGAGCATGGTATGCAACATCTTCTAAAGTTACTTGATTACAGAGACATTCATTCATGGGGCAGAAGGAGGGGAAAGGAAGAGGAGTTGGTCAACAGGAAGCAGGTGGTTGGCTAGGCAGTTATGATGAGTGAGGGATCTGGGATCTCATTGTCCAAATGCAGTGATCTGGTGAGTTTCAGCTCCTTGAGACTATTTGGGGAGGCCTGATGGTTGGTTTCCTGAGAGAGAAACTCAGTTAAGACAAATTCAACTTTCTCAAGTTTTAAGACTGAGAGGATTAACTTCTATGTTTATTCAAAGACACCCTAAACATCAGCTCTACTGGGCTATTACATCAGTTTCAATTGAAGTTGGGGAGGGGAGCTCTTTTGTTATGTCTTCCTCAGCCCATAATAGTAATAGTGTAGCATCTTCCACAGGTAGATGGGTGTTTTGAAAACATCTACAATTTAACTCTCTTTATATCTGTTAGGAGTCAGAATTGCAGCAATAGAAAGCACCTTTAGCTAATTTGAATAGACACTAGTTGCACTGAAAGGATATTGGAGAGCTTAGACACTACTAAAAAGATGGGAGAATGAGGTTTGGGACTGTGTATATTAGGCCAATGCAGAACTGGTCAGGGAACCCTGTGCCATTGTGACCATGAGGTCCTGTTTGCTGATGTTTATCACACTGGTCTTGTGGCTCTTGGCATTGCCAGTAGCACTGCTGTCACCAAGATTTAGAAATTTAGTCCTCCTACATTTACCACTAGAAAGACAAAATCCCTCCTGGTTCCTGGGACTCTAGGGTCAGTTCATCCAATACAGAAACTTGAGCTTCTGTGCCTAGTTTATGGCTACAAAGGAAGCTTCAGAAAATAAGTGTCTGCTATTTCTGTCTTTCATAAGTTAGGAGGCAGTTTTTGCTTCATAAGGGACATTGTTCAGAAATGGATAGATGAAAGGATGCTGAAGAATTTCTCACTCTTTTTATAATTTTTCAATTTAAAACATGCACTTTTCTTTTCTCATTGAACCATACTTGACCTTGTAAATTTGTATGACCATGTTTTTGAGGAGATAAGATTAGGATCTGAAACATATGTGATCAATAAACATTTGGTACATAAGTATCCATAAAGTTCCAATACATAGCCAGGGCCATATTATAAGTATCAGAGTTGGGATACAAATACAAATCTCTTTATTTCTACTCTGGATTTTTGATCTCCTCATAGAAACATAATTATACTGGTTGTTTATGTCAGTACATTTTTATACTACTTAGAGAAAAATTAAAGATGCAAATGCATTCTAGACATGTGGAAAAATACTAGCATTCTCAGTTAGATGTGAACTTATTAAGCAGCATGATTTTCTTGCAATATTTGTTACTAGCCCAAAATTGACAGAAAAGAATAAATCATTTGCTAAATCACCACGTTGGCATGGTTTAGTTTATTGGATACAGAGGGTAGGAAGCAAAGAAAACCCTTGGATTCCATGATGATTAACACAGAACATAATATGTTTAACACTGTGTGCAAAGCATTGTCTTTTAGAATTAAAGGGTAGTCCCACAAGGAAAGGTAAGGCTCAGAAGGGTCAGATTGACATGAGCTACCTGAAAAATAAACATAAATTTGTTGCCCAGAATGTTTTCTCCATCTTAGAGTTTTAAAATATTCTAAAGTTATTTCCAGCATCCATGATGGAAGGTAATATGTAAATAAGAAATTTAAAATAAAAACAGTTGTATTCTAAAATCATTTAGTCAAGGGACAGTCAAGGCTTTAATTTTAAATGATGCAAAAAAAAAAAGAATAACCATGAAAGAGATATAATGCAGGAGATAAGGAAATATATCAGTGATCTGATGACAGACAGCATCAGAAACTCAAATCCTAGCTTCTCAGCCCAAATTTAGTAAATAAAAACCACAGCAATGAAACAGCTAGCTCTGTTTGGGAGCTCAAAGCTCACTTAAGCTTGGGAACATTCCCACTCATGTTCTTTCTAGTAATTCATCAGTTCCCCTATTGAAGCCCTTTCCATGGCCCCCATGCTGGCATTTCTGAATCACATCTGAGCAACCAACAACTTTCTAGGGAGAAAAAATAACTATTATTAAATTTGGTCTGGATTAATGGTGTGGATGAGTTTGTATCACTTCACTTGCTCTCCATTTTCTATCTTCTTTTGTCTAACTCTGCATATTGTGTTTTATTTTCCCTGATAATAAAAATTGAATTTTATGTGCCCTTTATGTAGTAGGAGCTGGGTTTTATGTGCATCATTTTATTTAATCTATAGGACAACAATGTGGGTAATTATTATCTTCACTAAACAGGTAAGAAAACAAAACTAGTGAATTTAAGTGGCATAATCCAGGTCACACAGCTAATAAACTCACAAAACAGGATTTGAATCAGCCAGCTCTGGCTAACTCAAAACATCAACCAATTGTGCCACTATAGTAATAATAGCTATTTACTGAGTGAGCTCTAGCTAGCTAGCTATTGTAGTTATTGTAGGTTGAGAAATAAAGAAGGCAAGAGAATGACAAGGAAGACTGATCACTAACATGTACAATATGCTGTTTTCCTGCCTGCGGAGTCTCCCCACTTTCATTGCTGAATAATTCCTATTTATACTTAATGACTTAATGCAGATATCACTACCTCTATTTTCACTAGATGGTTCTCTTTTCTGTACTTACATTTACTATAGTATTTGTCATAATTAATTGTTATTCACTAGGTATTAACTTATAAACTCAAACTATCAGCTTCTTGGGAACTATGACTGTATCTTATCTCCTTAGCAAGAGGCAAATTGGACAGCCTCTTGAGCAAAGAATAATAACTGGTCACAGACTTGGTTGTCTCTTACATGGGATTCTAATATTGGGCTCCTTCATTTGGGGATGCAGTTACATACTCTAGTCATTTCACCATATCAAAAGTGGCAACTTATGGCTGAAAGTAACACTGCCCTTCTATAGTTATTTTTATTGAATTTTGAAGGTTTATGGGGGACCTAATATTCTTCATCATTCTATATTCAACATTTATAATACCATCCTGGCCTCTGTAAGTATTTGAGCATGCTACTTCTGCTCTAGATATTCTTCCATTAGCCTAACTATGAATTTGTATATTGGCCAAGCAATGGGTTAACTAATTTGGTTTAAATAAAATTTGGATTCAATCCCAGAATCATTCACTTATTTTTGACTGATTCATGCTCTTATATTTATGTTCCTCAACTATCATTATTACAAATGCAGGGACTTCATCAATATAATTTCCTTCTCAATAGTGAACAATAGTAATATAAAAAAAACAAGTAAACAAAACTGAACTGAATGTGCTGTATTGAAAATGATCTCCCTCTTTAGGACTGCCATCATATTATTACAGATTTACTCTGTCTTAAGTAAATATATCTGAGATTAAGTTACAAAGTAATATTATTTCAAATGATTGACATGCCTTAAAAATGAACACATTGTTTATAATTCAACGATCCCCCATTCTCTTGGAAGATAGAGTCTTTCAAACCCTTCTGTATTGGAGATAATGTTTTATATACCCCTGGTAAGACTCTGCTTTTTCAAAGGTAAACTGTTTATGTGTTAACATAAGGATGATAAGATTGTTCACTGCTGATTCGGTAAAGTTGAAACACAATGATGCTGTGGTGATGGTTGACATGAATGATTATTATGATTGTCAGTATGGTTTGTGAGCCATCCTTGTTTCCTGAAATTCAAGCTCTCATCAATAGTTAGGCCCATTTCAAGTTTAACTTAATTTTTTTCTTTAGTCATAATTCCAGTAACATTTTTTAAGAGCTAAGTTTTAATACCAGTTCATGTCCCGAGCTGGTGGAAAATTATGCTTGTCTTACAGAATACTGTAAATCTGAGAAAAATGTTAGGGTTTAACCAAAAGTGGTGTCCTTTCCTTTGAAACTGAAATTTTTCTTACATTTTATCAAGAACGAAGGCATATTAGATGTGGTAATACAATGTGTTAATTTTGAACTCGTGTATATATACATATATATAGAGAGAGAGAGAGAGAGAGAAAGAGAGAGAGAGAGTTGTTGTTAGAGTTGTATGTTTGAATGTGACATTTAAAATCTTTAAAGAAAATTGACAAAAAAAGCAAGTTTCTTCTGGCTTGATTGTGAATTATCATTTCTATCTACTGATAATATTCAGGTTTCAAATTAAACCATTTTCAAACTAAACCAATGTGTTCTTTAGCCCAATGCTTAGGATTCTTGTGTTTTTGTTCAGTTTCTCCAAGGTATGCCTTCTTTATGTAATGCTTTGGAGTTTGAAGCATGACCAAAATAATCATTATGATTCATGTCATATAACTACTTAAAAATAATAACTTTTTTCCTGTCTCCTAGAGAGAGGGTAGGCAGCTAAAAATGTACTACTTCTATGAAAGGCTCATGTGTAATGTAATAACATGGAGTCTGATTCTTCACTTATAGCTAAGCTTGGAAAGATATTAAATCCTTCAAAAATTTACGTAAGAAAAAATTCTTTTGGGGCTACATTTGTTGGGGAAGAGAGAGATTGAAGACATGAGGAACCTCCCAGTGTTTCTTACTGGTACTTAGTTAGTCATTCTGATTCACTGGTTTACAAGAGGACTGGAAGCAGGCCAAAATAAAACATTAAGAAAGTATTAATGTAATAAGGTTTAAATACCAGTTAGGAAAATAAAAGCTGTTTGAGTAAAGCGTTAGCTTTTAAGCATTTACCTATGCATAATCAAACGGGATCATGAAGATACAAAGACATTTTAAAATTAACTAGAGAATTATGGAATCATTTCAGGAAAATAAAATTGACTTCGTCACATATATATTATGTGTCTACTCAATATAAACCACCATGCTGACTAGTACAGGCACTACCTGGGATATAACTGGCACTATCACCAAAAGTGCCCTTTCTGACGTAATTTACAGTAGTTTACCTAGACATACATTACATCTATTTTACATATTTCATGAAAATATTGGTTTTATTTTATAGTTACAGGGTAATATATGAGGCTTTCAGCACAATTTGTTGGGAGTGATAGCATAGGACCCGTTTTTTATAAGCATGCTTCATATTTTATTTATGAGATCCCCTGTTGTGTAACATTTGTCTCACAGGTAGCCTTTCATCATGGTTAGAGTAAACAATGATGTGATGGGCATTCACTAAAAGTGTTGTGTTGAAAGGCAAACACATTACTGAAGATTTTTTTTTTTTTTTTAATACAGTGGCTACGTATATTCCAACACAGAGTCTACCAAATTTAAGTTTAATCTATCTGGAATTAATTTTGGTATTTGTTTTAAAACAAGGATCTTACTGCTTTTTTCTATAGTAAGAAAATTAACCTAGGAACAGTAGGAAGTTCTTGTTTCCTTTGGTGATCTGCAATGTCACCTTTAGACTAATTTAAATCCTGTACTTACTTGAATTTAAATTTGAATCAACCTGTCTATTCTTGTTCTCATACCACATCGTTTTAATTATTGTGGTTTCAAGCTTAGTTAATATTGAATGAATTAATTCACACACTAAAATAACATTTTAATTTTTTTTTATTCCCGATCCTTTTCCAGATGATGCAGAAGGTCAGAGAGGGATATGCTGGAGCCCATGCTTAATTCACAGCTGCTGTAACACCTACCAAATATAGCTATGTCACTTCTTGAAATAATTTCACCTGCTATATTCTAAAAGCATGCCGTTTGCTTTTCATAATGCACAGAAATTTTAAGCCTTGGTAGAAAGCTTTCTTTAGTCTATTCCGTGTAAGAACAAAAGTGGGAAGAGTAGTAAAACCTTATGCAAGTTTTCATCTTGTATTTCTTAATGTTGTTTGAAACATAAAGGTGATGTGACATGGTGGATAAGTGAAGCAGCATTTGAGTTTCAATTTAACTGCATCCTAGTGTGTGTGGCTTTGGTTAATCTTAACTTCTATGGGCCTCATTTCCCAGTAAAGTGGAAGTATCAATAGGTTCTTATAGGATAGAGTATTTCCAAGTAAGCACTCAAAGAAGGTAGTTATTCTTGTTGTTATTATGTGCCTCTAAATTCCCAAGTCATCATAGACAAGGGAAATATAGGTTATAGGACAACAATTATTCTTCTAAACATGAAAGATGGGTTTGATGGTGATGGACTCCTATTAGCAACAACAGAAAGAAGATAGGGAAAATTGTTGTTTTTCAAGTTGGACATTTATTTTCTGCTTTAAGAAAATCCATTATATAATCAATTCACAAGAGTGCAATTTTAAAGTATTTAAATGTGTGTCTTTGTGTGTTATAACAAAAAAGAAAATATGTAGTGGCTTGGTGGGGAGAAAAAAAGGACAAAAGGGTTAAGTGTGTTGAGTCTGTATCTGAAGTTTAAAAAACAAAGGGCAGATATTTCTGATATATTTAAGATATGTCATATTTTGACCTAAACTTTTACATTCAGAATCCTTGATGCAATTTTTCTAAGAGTGCAGGTGTTATGATTAAAATAAAAAAAAAGAAAAGATGAAAAAAGAAGGGAAAACAAGAAAAAGGAAAGAACAAAAAGAGGAATGCTTGCATATGTATTTGCCTGGGTAAATCAGGCTGGCCAGGCTTTCAATCAGGTCTCAGCTCCTGGTCTAGGCTGCCATATTTATAGGAGCTGGGACTTGGCATCTCTGCCCTACTTTGTCAACGAGTCTTCAAATCTCAGTCCCCTGAGCCTTGGGACAGCAGAGAAAGCAGCTGAGCTGCATGCTCTGCTTATGATGTGAAAAAATAAACCCTTGACCAAAGGCACTGGCTGCAAATTCACTAGTCCCGCCCCTAGCTCTGAGGAGCTCCTGTCAGCTTTGATTAGCTTTTCTGACTGCGAGATTATCCCGCTCTGTAAACTGTTCCGTCCCCTCGGCCCTCCTTGCTACTACTACAGTTGGCTCCCTTTATTGTTTGATGAGCTGTCACAGCTGGCTGATCAGACTGCCACCCAATCATCTTCCCTTTTACTCAGGCCCCTGACTGACCTTGTTCTGTCTTTGCCTTTCCTGTCCCTCTGATCCTCTGGCAGTTGAATCGCCTACCCCTGGTGGTTGATCCCACTGCTTGTCTAATCAGCCCATTAGACAGTTTGATTAGCTGCTCCTACCTCTCACCCTGCCAGCTCTTCCTGCGGCTACCAGCTGTGCTCAGGGCCTGCTAGTAACTAACCATCAATTCCTTCTGACCCTCCATTAGTGCTGCTGGCTGATCGCCTTAATACTTGTTCTCAGTAACTCTCTGATCTACTGTTGCCTCTCTCCACCTTAGTCTTCTGGTTAGCCTCTGATGTCTTTCTTTCTCTGTTCTATGAAAATTTCTTGCTATTAATTGAACCACTCTGGTATCCTGTGCCGGGCACTTTTTAGCCTTTGAGGTTAGATGGCTGTCTTTGGCAAGTGACATCATTTCAGTGCAGTCAAAGTTCAAGTGCCCACTTCACGGCTCCCCCGAGATGTCAACAGCTGCTGTTGCATCTGACTTAATATCGTGAGCTGTATCCATGATTCCATCACTCTTCCTGGGGTAGCCTGAATCCTAGCATTTTTTCACTAGGTGTTGAAGTATTTCCTGAGCATAATCTTCCTCCTGACCTTCGCTCTGAGTAATAATTATTTATGGTAGTCCCAGGGCCAGAGTGAAAACCTATTTGGATTCAAAGTCCATAGGTTCACCGTTTACCTGTGTGACCTTAGACAAGTGACTTAACCTCTCTTTGGGCCTTAATTTCTGAATTTCTAAATTTATTTCATGTATTCATTCAACTAATGGCTATTGAGTAACTAGTACAGTTAGTCATTGAGCTTAGAGTCTCCTGTAAACAGGACATTCAAGTTCCCTGAATACCTAGGGTTTACATACAAGAATGAAAGAATAAAACCACTAAACATATGAGAACACAGACAACAGAACTCCAAATGTGGCAAATGTTGTAAGAAAATACAGTAGGGTAATGGAATTGAAAAGGATGAGATGGAAGGGTTAATTTAGATGGACTAATTGAAAAAGGGATCTTTGAGAAGACAATATTTGAGCTAGTATCTGAAAGATTAGAGGAAGGCAGCCACGTGGGATTACCTAGGGAAAGGATGTAATGGGCAGATATAAACAAATGCAAAGGTCTCAACAAAGTTTTGTGTATCAGAGGGACATAGGAAAGCCACTGTGTCTAAAACATAGTGAATAACAGAGATTGCTATGAAGTAAAGTCAAAGAAGTAGGCAAGGGCCAGAACATATCAGCCCAGGAATGCTACAGTAAGGAGGATGGGTTTTATTCTAATTGTAACGGAAGTGTTAGTGGGGATCTAGTCTAAATAAGCACTGTCCAATAAAACTTTGTTATGATGAAAATGTTCTATATCTGTGCTATCTGATATAGATTCCATTCGACATTCAAAATAGAGACAGTGGGACTGAGGAACTACATATTTTATTATTTGTAATTTTAATAAAAATTAAATTAGTTTTAAATTAAAATTTCTAATCTAATAAAATTTTCTTTCGATAATTGAATTTAACCAATTTAATTAAAATCCATAATTTAATAACAATTAAAAATTAATTAAATGGCCAGGTGTGGCGGCTCACGCCGGTAACCCCAGAGCTTTGGGAGGCTGAGGTGGGCGGATCACTTCAGGTCAGGAGTTTGAGACCAGCCTGGCCAACACTGTGAAACCCTGTCTCCACTGAAAATACAAAAAGTACCTGTGTGTGATGGCGGGCACCTGTAATCCCAGCTACTTGGGAGGCTGAGGCAGGAGAATCGCTTGAACCAGGGAGGCAGAGGTTGCTGTGAGCTGAGTGTGTACCACGTTACTCCAGCCTGGGAGACCGAGTGAGACTCTGTCTCAAAAAAAAATTATAATAAATAAACGGTTAAATATAAATCACACTATGTGCTAGAGATGAGGACTACTCTAGAGAGTTAAGGGTTGCCTTAGATAAATAATTTTCAATATGTACCTCAGAATACTCTTGGTTCACGGAGGGTCCACCTCAAGGAGGCAATGAGTCAAAGAGAGTTGGATTTATGGCCCCCTCATTTTTTCTTAAGCTATGGAAGTTCTACTTTTCTCTGCTTTATTTATTGGGTTTTTCAAGAGATCTCATTTAGAAAAGTATAGGCTACTTAAAAACACTGGAAAGCACTCAACACTGGATTGACAACAGCGGTGATGTCAGAGTGATATAGATTTAATTAAGAGCTTGATCACTTGCTAACTTACAGAACATAAACAAAATATTTTACTTTATTTTTATTATCTGTAAAAAGAGATATAAATAGTAATACCAATGTTATAGGTCACCTGTGTTGATTAGATGATGTAATCCAGGCAGAGTGCTTAGCAGAATGCGAGACCTATATCATGTGCTCAGCAGATATTAACCTCCACAGTTACTGTTATTCTGAGGTTAATCAGTCCAGAGGGTTTGTGCCCCTAGTCATATATAACTGGAAAGTCAGCTAGCTTGATAATCTAGCTATAATATATAATATAATATAATATAATATAATATAATATAATATAATATAATATAATACAATACAATACAATATAATATAATATAATATAATATAATATATTAGCTAAACCTTACTATTACCTTATTCAAGGTCATACAACTATGAAGAGTGTGAGTTGAGATTTGAATTTAGTTTACTGTGATTCTAGCATTAGTGATACTAACCACTGAGCATTCATCTGTAAAATATAACTTCAGAGTTATACCGTAAACATATTCTTTAAATCAATACATTTTTTTTTGTTTCTGAGACGGAATTGTTGCCCAGGCTGGAGTGCAATGGCATGATCTCAGCTCACCACAGCCTCTGCCTTCCGGGTTCAAGTGATTCTCCTGCCTCAGTCTCCCGAGTAGCTGGGATTACTGGCATGCACCGTCATGCACAGCTAATTTTGTATTTTTAGTTGAGATGGGATTTCACCATGTTGGCCAGGCTTGTCTTGAGCTCCTGACCTCAGATGATCCACCTGCCTCGGCCTCCCAAACTGCTGGGATTACAGGCGTGAGCCACCATGCCTGGCCAAATCAATAAATATTTAATCCAGTAAAGGCAAATTGCAAAGGAAGCATGGTGAATAGTTATGAGAGGATTCTAATAATAATGAGAGGCTACTGCTATTTTAGTAATTTAAGCTCCTTTCAAATGATTGCAAAGAAACAACTGCTCTATATTATATTCTAGAATTTAGTGCAAAAATGCTCAGCTGGGGCTATGACAGTTGTCTTCAGACAATTCTGATGTTTACCTCCCACTAAGAATCCCTGCTACTCTTGTTGATTGGATAGGTAGCTTACAGGAGCATTCATTTGTTCAATCATACCATAACTCTATCACATGAATACTATTATTATTTCTATTTTATGTTAAATAAAGATAATACCTTAAAAGGTTAAGCAACCCATTTAAGGTCACATAGCTAGGAAGTATTTGACCTAGCATTTGAATGCAGTGACTGTGTGGGAGAACAAACTCTGGAGCTAGAGAGAGGAGTCAGTGTCTTAACTTATACAATGCAAACATGTATTGTCATATGGATTGTAATTAAATTAGTCAAATTCAATTATCGAAAAAAAAACTTAACCTGTTAAGTGATTGCAATAATTAAATAGGATCATGTGGTAAAACCCTTTCTGGTATTTTTGAACTGAAATTTCAAATTGCATAGAAGTTACCCTTTCTCTAGAAATAACCGGTTAATTGGAAAGTGTGCAAAGCAGAGAGTGACAGAATTGATGTATCTCTAAAGCTGATGGAATAGGCAAGCTATTCAATGGGGTCCCTTGTCCTGGACTCTGCTTCTTGGTTTGTAAAGGGTTGATACACTCAGGAGAGAAAACATCTTACTTATGACCACCCTCAATTGCCAACATAAGCTAAGTTGAGCTTTTACGACTTAAGCAGTTGCATCAATACTATTAATCCCAACAAAAATCTTAACAAATCCAGATTATATAATATACAAAACTCCCCAGCCTTTAACTGGGTTTCTGTTAAACCCTGACAATTTAGAACACAGAGCACTTAACAAAAAAGGTAATTCATAATAGCTCAAGCTTAAAAACAAAAACTGACACCCTTAAACAAAGCGTTCTTTTTTGATATTTATTTCATGAATACTTGTTGAAGCCCCCAGGTATCAAATAGTTCTGTTAGGTGCTCGAGATACAGAACAGAGCAGATGAAGTTCCTATATTCATGAAATGTACATTACAATAGGTCAGATGAACAGTAAACAAAAAAGTAAAAGTATTACTAATATATAGTAATGATTAATTATAGGAAGCAAACTACAGCATTGTAAGTGGTTATATGGTAAGGGTATTTTGGACAGGGAAGTCAGAGAAAGTTGCTCTTAGGAAATGGCCTTTGCCTGAGGATTTGATGAAGTGAGGAAATTGCTGTATGAACTTCTGGGAGAGGATCTTTCAAGGTATAGGATAGACAGAGGGTGAAGGAGTTTTAAGGAGGAATGAACTTGGGCATTTGATTGAAAATAAAGAAGCCAGTGTGCCTGGAGCCCAGTGAGCTGGGTGAAGAATAGCAGGAGACAGCATTGGGGAAATAGATGTTCTTGTAAACCATGATGAGGGCTTTAGATTACTGTCTTCTTGGAGGGCTTTGAGTAAGAGGAATGACATGATTAGATTTACATGATGAAAACATTATTTTGTTGCTAGATGAAAAGTAACTGCAGGGAGGCAAATGTGGGAGCAAGGAAATTAGTTAGAAGGTTATTATATTAGGCTTGTCTAAAAAAGAAGATGGTTTGGACTAGAAGGGAGCTGTGACAGTGATGAAAAGTGGTCAGATTTCAGATATATCTTGAAAGTAGTGAACACAGAACTTACTGATGGATTACAAGTGGTTGTGAAAAAAAGGGGAATCTAGAAATAGTTCACTAAATGAATATAGCAAATGAAAACTTACTGAAGAGGCCTTTCCAGGGATTACTTTAAGCACTTTGCACAGAACATGGAGTTGAACAAATAAAAATTTCTAATAAGTGTTAGGAGTGATTTTTATTTTTATTAGCATTACTTCACAAGTATGTATTAAACCCCAAATAGGTGAATGTGTCAGGTGCTATTCTCTTTCCTACAATAAACACAAATATCAAAAACCAGCTTACCTCATGATGTTTATACAGCGGTTAGCAGCTCTTCTCATGCTTCTGTGAGTCTCTTTCTTAACAGTTTACTTTTTGCAGCAAACATCTTACATATTTTACCTGTTCCTCTTTAATCTTATTTTTATCCTAGGCTTGTTTCTAAATCCACCATATTCATTATTTCTACTATATTCAAACACTTTTGTTGTTTATGGAAGCTTTGATTTATATAAAGTTATCCTCTGCTACATTTAATATTCTTTCCACCAATTTGACATATCAATCATGTTACATTAATTCAATAAAATATTATACATCCATTAAAAAGAATAAAGTAGATTAATATAAACTAACATACATAGATATTTTAAGTTAAAGAAGAGAAAGAGGAAACATAAAATAATAAAATATAAATATGAATACTGTAAAATAAAGAATAAGGCTGGATGCGGTGGCTCATGCCTGAAATCACAGCACTTTGGGAGGCTAAGGTGGGAAGATGGCTTGAGGCCAGGAGATTAAGACCGACCAGGACAACATAGTGAGATCCAATATCCACATTTTAAATTAGCTGGATGTGGTGGGCACACTGGTAGTCCCAGATACTCAAGAGGTTGAGGTAGGAGGATCACTTGAGCCCAGGAGTTGGAGACTACAGTGAGCTATGATTGGGCCAGTGCTCTCTAGCCTGGATGACAGAGTGAGACCCTGCCTCAAAAAAATTTTTTAAATAATAAAATAAATAAAGAATAATTAATCTGACTTCCATATCTATCAAAATAGGCCAGATTATAATTGGAAATCAACAACCTCAAAATCTCAGTACATTGAAACAATAGTCTAGTTCTTTCTCATGCCTCATATCCATCACAGAGTGCTAGGGAATGCTACACTTTGTTGTCCTCACTACAAGGACTAGGGCCTATGGGGCAGGGGATTAAAGAAAACATTCCATTTATTTTCAACTATATATTTCTCTTTAATTTGACATATACCAAGGAAAACAACATTCAGGAAATATTTTGCTATTGAAAAATATTTTAGTGGTGTTTTAGACATGAGGTCCTTGCCCATGCCTATGTCCTGAATGGTATTGCCTAGGTTTTCTTCTAGGGTTTTTATGGTTTTAGGTCTAACATTTAAGTCTTTAATCCATCTTGAATTAATTTTTGTATAAGGTGTAAGGAAGGGATCCAGTTTCAGCTTTCTACATATGGCTAGCCAGTTTTCCCAGCACCATTTATTATAAAGGGAATCCTTTCCCCATTGCTTGTTTTTGTCAGGTTTGTCAAAGATCAGATAGTTGTAGATATGCGGCATTATTTCTGAGGGCTCTGTTCTGTTCCATTGGTGTATATCTCTGTTTTTGTACCAGTACCATGCTGTTTTGGTTACTGTAGCCTTGTAGTACAGTTTGAAGTCAGGTAGCCTGATGCCTCCAGCTTTGTTCTTTTGCTTAGGATTGACTTGGTGATGCGGGCTCTTTTTTGGTTCTGTATGAACTTTAAAGTAGTTTTTTCCAATTCTGTGAAGAAAGTCATTGGTAGCTTGATGGGGATGGCATTGAATCTATAAATTACCTTGGGCAGTATGGCCATTTTCACGATATTGATTCTTCCTACCCATGAGCATGGATTGTTCTTCCATTTGTTTGTATCCTCTTTTATTTCATTGAGCAGTGGTTTGTAGTTCTCCTTGAAGAGGTCCTTCACATCCCTTGTAAGTTGGATTCCTAGGTATTTTATTCTCTTTGAAGCAATTGTGAATGGGAGTTCACTCATGATTTGGCTCTCTGTTTGTCTGTTATTGGTGTATAAGAATGCTTGTGATTTTTGCACATTGATTTTGTATCCTGAGACTTTGCTGAATTTGCTTATCAGCTTAAGGAGATTTTGGGCTGAGATGATGGGGTTTTCTAGATATACAATCATGTCATCTGCAAACAGGGACAATTTGACTTCCTCTTTTCCTAATTGAATACCCTTTATTTCCTTCTCCTGCCCGATTGCCCTGGCCAGAACTTCCAACACTATGTTGAATAGGAGTGGTGAGAGAGGGCATCCCTGTCTTGTGCCAGTTTTCAAAGGGAATGCTTCCAGTTTTTGCCCATTCAGTATGATATTGGCTGTGGGTTTGTCATAGATAGCTCTTATTATTTTGAGATACGTCCCATCAGTACCTAATTTATTGAGAGTTTTTAGCATGAAGAGTTGTTGAATATTGTCAAAGGCCTTTTCTGCATCTATTGAGATAATCATCTGGTTTTTGTCATTGGTTCTGTTTATATGCTGGATTACATTTATTGATTTGCTTATGTTGATCCAGCCTTGCATCCCAGGGATGAAGCCCACTTGATCATGGTGGATAAGCTTTTTGATGTGTTGCTGGATTCAGTCTGCCAGTATTTTATTGAGGATTTTTGCATCGATGTTCATCAGGGATATGGTTCTCAAATTCTCTTTTTTTGTTGTGTCCCTGCCAGGCTTTGGTATCAGGATGATGCTGGCCTCATATAATGAGTTAGGGAGGATTCCCTCTTTTTCTATTGATTGGAATGGTTTCAGAAGGAATGGTACCAGCTGCTCCTTGGACCTCTGGTAGAATTTGGCTGTGAATCCATCGGGTCCTGACTTTTTGGTTGGTAAGCTATTAATTATTGCCTCAATTTCAGAGCCTGTTAAAAATATGGAACTCTTCACAAATTTGCATGTCATCCTTGCGCAGGGGCCATGCTAATCTTCTCTGTATTGTTCCAAAGCAATGGCAACAAAAGCCAAAATTGACAAAAGGGATCTGATTAAACTAAAGAGCTTCTGCACAGCAAAAGAAACTACCATCAGAGTGAACAGGCAACCTACAGAATGGGAGAAAATTTTTGCAATCTACTCATCTGACAAAGGGCTAATGTCCAGAATCTACAATGAACTCAAACAAATTTACAAGAAAAAAACAAACAACCCCATCAACAAGTGGGCAAAGGATATGAACACACACTTCTCAAAAGAAGACATTTATACAGCCAAAAGACACATGAAAAAATGCTCATCATCACTGGCCATCAGAGAAATGCAAATCAAAACCACAATGAGATACCATCTCACACCAGTTAGAATGGCAATCATTAAAAAAGTCAGGAAACAACAGGTGCTGGAGAGGATGTGGGGAAATAGGAACACTTTTACACTGTTGATGGAACCATGAACTAGTTCAACCATTGTGGAAGTCAGTGTGGCGATTCCTCAGGGATCTAGAACTAGAAATACCATTTGACCCAGCCATCCCATTACTGGGTATATACCCAAACTAATATAAATCATGCTGCTATAAAGACACATGCACACGTATGTTTATAGCGGCACTATTCACAATAGCAAAGACTTGGAACCAACCCAAATGTCCAACAATGATAGACTGGATTAAAAAAATGTGGCACATATACACCATGGAATACTATGCCGCCATAAAAAACGATGAGTTCATGTCCTTTGTAGGGACATGGATGAAGCTGGAAACCATCATTCTCAGCAAACTATCACAAGGACAAAAAACCAAACACCACATGTTCTCACTCATAGGTGGGAATTGAACAATGAGAACACTTGGACACAGGAAGGGGAACATCACACACCGGGGCCTGTTGTGGGTTGGGGGGAGGGGGGAGGGGGGAGGGATAGTATTAGGAGATATACCTAATGTTAAAGGACGAGTTAATGGGCGCAGCACACCAACATGGCACACGTATACATATGTAACAAACCTGCACGTTGTGCACATGTACCCTAAAACTTAAAGTATAATAAAAAAAGAAAAATATTTTTCTAAGCATTTAGCAAAGATTATATCTAAAAGTTGTATAAAATAAGCTTTTTAAATTATGTTTTTGTCTTCTTTACATTTATTTTCTCTATTAAAAATAATAAGGCTGGGCGTGGTGGCTCATGTCTGTAATCCTAGCACTTTGGGAGCCTGGAGCCCAGGAGTTCAAGACCAGCCTGGGCAATATGGCGAAAATAAAAAATACAAAAATTAGCCAGGTATGGTGGCACACACCTGTAGTCCCAGCTACTCAGGAGGCTGAAGTGGGAGGATCACTTGAGCTTGGTAGGCAGAGGTTACAGTGGGCCAAGATAGTGACACTGCACTCCAGTCTGGACAACTGAGTGAGATCATGTTTAATCATCATCATCATTATCATCATCATCATCATCATCAATGTTATATATTATTTAAAGAGTAATTCAATGGTTTAACATTATGATGAATGTTTGTGGCACACTGAATGTTTATAAGGACCAAGCCAATTTTTTTTTTCCCTATACAAGCTTTACTTTCCCATTGAGTTTTTGAGAAAAAAAGATCGATTGCCTTAATTTTCAAGCAAGTGTCCCTCAAAAAGAAGTGAGAACTTAAAAATAATGTTTCTTTTATGGCATCTAGCAAAATACTCTTCTCTTCTTCCTCAGCTGCAAAAGGGTCCTAATGTGGCTAATGCTAATATTCATGAAGATGAAAGATACGTTTTTCTAGTCCTTTCAGTTGGTAAAGGCTGTATATATTTCATTTTCTGAATATGAGAAGAAAGTTTAGAGATAATAACGTAGTTATTAGCCCTCCTCTCTTAAAGAGTTAATAGAACAGGAGAGTCAACATATGCAGTGGAATAAATGAATAATAAATCCAATTATTTTTATATATACATACATGGCATATATGTATATATGAAATTAAATATATATTTTTATATATACATATATGCCATGTATGTATATATATAAATATAATTGGATTTTTATATTATATATGTATATATTATATATACATATATGGCATATAGGTATAAATAATAACAATTTGACTTATTAATTCGTTCAGTTCTTACTGTTAGAAAAGGTTCATTTTTAACCCCAGAAGACTGCACCCTGCCTATCAGAGAAAGTAGGTCAAATATTCACTTTTGAGGCTATGTAGAGATAAAACTGCTAAATAGGTAAAACGCAGATAGAAAGCTCTCCATGATGCTTTTTCCTTATGATGTTTGGGAGTTGCTGATGACCAAACTCTTTAAAGAAATTACTGGATGCCCAAAGGCCTCTGAAAAACACAGGAACCTTGAGAGGAACAGAGTTTGTTGTCTGGGGAATTCTGAAAGCTCTATTAAAATAGGCCTAAAACAGCCATTGGCATAAACAAGGTGTCACTGGGATTTTCAGTCTTTATTCCTTTTTTTTTTTTCCTGAGTCATCTGTCAGACTGGCAAAGCTGTAAAATTTTATCTTTTCAGTACTTTTGATTCTCTCCCTACCTTCCATTTTTTCTTGTTGCCTGACTACATATATTGGCTCTCCTTTTCTATTAACTCTTTAAGAGAGGAGGGGTAATAACTACATTATTACCTCTAAACTTTCTTCTCATATTCAGAAAATATTGTATATTGCTTATTTTAAAAAATGTTGAGAATATATATTACTTACCAAATAAAACATGGTTTGATTCTGAATTTACAAATTGAAATTTTTTTGTTATTTTAACATGCCATTCTTCTTAATATAACCCATACATTGGATTTATTATTCATTTTCAGCAAAATTAAATGACTGGATTCACCCTAGACTACTTAATGTTTCAGGGAAACTGCATTGAGCTCTATGTGCTGCATATTGTTGAACTCAATGCTTGGGGTACAAGGACCAGTAAGATGTAGTTTTACACTTGGAAGAATAATGTTTGAGTAGGGAAATATAGATAAAGAAGCCAAATGTAAAAAAAAGTGCTACATTGTAAAATAAAGTAGAGTATAATCTTGAAAGTTCAGGGAAACCTTCCTACATATATGAACCTGGAACTGACTGGGTTTTAGAGAACAAAAAGATTTCAGACAAAAAGTATCATCCAGAATTATTGACCATAAATCTTGACATCTAATTATCTCTCCC
Source organism: Homo sapiens (assembly GCF_000001405.40). Lineage (NCBI taxonomy): Eukaryota > Metazoa > Chordata > Mammalia > Primates > Hominidae > Homo > Homo sapiens. Next base: position 162,474,739 of record NC_000005.10, on the reverse strand, counting down.
ACACCCACTCATGGGCATAAATGAATAAACTACATTGAATACCTTTTCAGACATTTTGTCATAATACTTATCATCAATCTTTTCAAAACTTTATTGTTTTCTTTAACTCCTTCTTCTGAATTACATTAGAAACTTTTCAGTACAAAAGCTCTTCAATAAGTCCAGTTTACATTTTTCATTCATATTCCACTGGTGTTTACAAAATGTCTTTTAGAAGCTTGAAACACTTTCAAAGGGACCAGTGGGAAATAGCTGTTTCACACTTGATTTATCATCACCACAAGTTCATTATTAACTCCAGAACACTGCACTCTGCCTATTAAAGTAGGTCAAAGATTCACTTTCTACAAGGATATGTAGGGATAAAACTGCTAAATATGTAAAACATAGACTGAAAGCTCTCCATCTTCCCTTTAGTCAAGGCTTCTATGTGATAATGATTATTTGAGGTTGCAAACAGGACACAAGGTTGTGGCAGAAGTAATTCATAGGGATTGGATGGGGCAAATAAATTGGAGGAGTATTTTTTACATATTAGTGTTCTTTTGTCATTCGATCTATTCAACAAATGTTTTTTGATTATCTGTGTGCATATTACCAATATCCGGTCTAGGTGATAGAAATAAAACATTGAACAAGACAGACAAATTTGTCTTCTTGTGGGATTTGTATTTTAGCCATTTAAAAATTACAGCAAATTAAATTTAAAAAGTAACATGACTTCCGAAGATTAGTATAAAATGATATACATGTAGAGTGGAGAAATTTTTTTTACTGTAATGGCTAGGTAGAATAAATATTTGCTTAAAATTTTGTATAGTATTCACTCCCTTCCTCCTATAGAGGAGCAATTCTGCATTTCATATAGTTTTAGTGAGAGATTGTACTCCACATTCTAGTCTGGAAGCTAAAAGGATCAGATCCTCTCTTACTTCAATTTGACAGAGCCAGGGCTCAAAAATGTGAATTAGTTTAGTTAATTAGATAGTCCTGTTTGCAATTTTTAATCTTGATCAAAGGATGCAAAGATGTGGTAGGATACTTTTAGGAGTCATTCACTACATCAACTACAGCAATGATGCCCAAACTTTTCCTCTTAGGAAGAAACAGACTGTGTTTTCTGTTCCAAAGCTGTTTGACCTAACTTACATCTTTGTTTTCTAAGCCTGCATCTCCAAACTCCCACTAGCTCTGTGAATTCATAGTATTGCTCAAATAGATATCCATCTGTGAAGCAGGTCCACTGTGTACTGGTTACTAACTTGTCTGATTTGGTGAGACAGAACACCCACACACAAAACAAGTTACATGAGGCAGATTTATTATCTAACTGAGAGGCAACAAGTGACAATAAAAGCCTAGGATTCAGGGCATGCCAGTCCCCCAAGGCTCAGGAAAGCTGCCCAGGTTGGATGGAGTCTTGTTTGAATGTACTGCACTTGCACTGCAGCTACAGGACCCTGGAAATCATCCCACCCTAGGTTTTATACGAGGGGAAGGAAAACATGACCCACTGGACTAAAACATTGAAGAGCAACTTGTTCCTAGGAGGAACTGGAACAGAGCCCTGGCTGTTCTAGTAAGTTCCTCCCTATCTTAGTGTGTCCAGAATTTAATCCTTCTGGTGGAATCTTGGTCTCCCTGACTTCAAGAATGAAGCTGTGGACCTCACGGTGAGTGTTACAGCTCTTAAAGGTGGTGCGTCCAGAGTTATTTGTTCCTCCCAGTGGGTTCGTGATCTCGCTGACTTCAGGAATGAAACTGCAGACCCTCGTGGTGACTGTTAACAGCTCTTAAAGTTGGTGCAGACCCAAAGAGTGAGCAGCAGCAAGATTTATTGTGAAGAGGGAAAGAACAAACCTTTCAAAGCAGGAAAGGGGACTTAAGCGGGTTGCTGCTGCTGGCTGGTGTGGCCAGCTGTTATTTCCTTATTTGTCCCTGCCCATGTCCTGCTGATTGGTCCATTTTACAGAGCGCTGATTGGTCTATTTTACAGAGTGCTGATTGGTGTGTTTACAGTCGTTTAGCTAGACATAGAGCACTGATTGGTGCATTTTTACAGAGTGCTGATTGGTGCATTTACAATCCTATAGCGAGACACAGAGCGCTGATTGGTGCGTTTTTATAGAGTGCTGATTGGTGCATTTACAATCCTTTAGCTAGGTACAGAGCACTGATTGGTGCATTTACAGTCTTCTAGCTAGACAGAAAAGTTCTCCAAGTCCCCACTTGACCCAGGAAGTCCAGCTGGCCTCACCTCTCATTAAGATGTTACATCCTCAGAACATTCTACAGTTGTACTTAAGAACTACAAACAGGAAAGGGTGAGAAACTGGGTGAGTCCAAGGTCACCCAGAGAACTGTTCTGCAGTTTACCACTGATCCAGATGGCCCCCCTTAGCAAAGTTCTTCCATTTCCTATGCCCAATGACTTCCCCAGATTTGGAGTTGAAGATTGGTCTTGTCAGATTGATGTAACACCTGCACTGACATAATCTCTTTGCAACATCATTGAGCCATCGGCAGTATACATTTCACTAGGCCCAGGAGTACATTTGACTATCCATAAGCAAGGTGCTCAGGCCTGCCCAGAGCAGTGACCTAACACAGGATCCCAGTGATCCAGGTAAGAGGTTACTAAAGTTGTCAAAAAAAGATCCTTCCAGTGGTCCCACTGTCTGCAGCCAGTGTACCTGCCTCTGTACCTCCTCTACTTGTGCTTCTACAATAACTGAAATTTATCTAGGTACAGCAGAAGGTGTTGGCAATTTCATATACTCTTCCAAGTTGGGCTAAATAGATCTAGATCCATTCTGTTGCCTAAAACAATCTTCCCAAGGAAGTTGGGGATGTCTGTTAGGCTGGCAAGGCAGTGGCTGTGGAAGAAGCAATATTTACTATGGTCAGAAATAGGTTTTGTATAATTTTTTCATGAGCACGGACTCCTGTATCTGGTATCAAAGAGCTCACAAAGGGCATGAACCCAGAGCCAGTTAGTAAGCCTGCCAGGCCAGTGGTGCATCTCATTTCCAGGGGTGATATCCAGGAGCACTTCCAGCATGCAGGATCCCACCATCCATCAGGCATGACATTGCTCATCCTATATTTGAGTCACCAATGAACCACTGAACCACCTGCAGAGAAAGATGTAACTTTCAGGTGTACAGAGCAACCCTTCTCTCACTTTATTGTTCAGTGACACATTCATGGGTACGAAGGCATTGGAATTCGCCAGCCAAGTCTTGAGTTAGTTACATGAACTTGGTTTTCTTAAAATATTGTCCATTAAGCCCCTACACAGAGGGCTAACAACAGTTCAGTCCTTGTTTTCATTTTCACCACTGGGACACTTCTTGTTCAGGTGATCAAATGAGCATAAAGTGTCAAAGTGCAAGCCTACCAAAGTTTTCTCAGTTATAGCTGTGACATTTTGGCATTGAGTCAGTTAAGTTAAAACAGAGCACCTCTGATTCTCTTCCATGTGGTGGATGCCAAATCCACATTGAAGCGTGCGCTGTGGCATTAGGAATGTGTGTGTAGTTTACCACTGACAGGATGAGAAGTTGCTGTTGTCTGTAACAGAGTAAGGTCTAACCCTTAGTCAGGCTACCCAAGGTGGCTGCTGCCTGGGAGAGCCTAATGAAAGTGTTGTGCTTCCAGGCCTCTGCTGCCACATCCTTGTAAAATAAAACAGATTTACAGATGAGTGCCCTACATTTCACCCCTCTTGGGGTTTTAGGTGTTTCTACTTAATGGATAGGGTTTGGGCTGGGTAGACATATTATCCAATTTTGTCTGTCCCAGTCCCCAGGTGATGACAACTGCAGGTACTAATTGTCCTTCTTGCTTGAGCCAGAACATTAAAACAGCTCTCCAGTTCAGGAAGGGAAGTCACATCCTGTACAAACATCACGTTTGGTAATGCTGCCCACTTGACTGAAGGTTTTAGATTTCCCCAGTGTCCCTAGAGAGTCCTGGCACTCTGGTATTCCTTGGTTCCATCCAATAACCCTGTGGGATCCCATAGAGAGCAGTGACCCAAGGGAGGCATTGTTTTCAGATAAGACTTAGGGGTCCTGTCTGGGGTATTACGGTGGCCTGAACTGCAAACTGCCCCCCAGGACATGTACTCTAAAGGAAAAAAAGAAAGAAATGGTTGGGAACACTGAGATTGGGATTTGCAGATGTAGCCTAATCAAGCATCTGGCTGGTTACCTCTACCCCGACTAAGGCCATTGTTTCTCAATGGGTGCTGCAGTGCCATGTTTCCCTCACATCATAGTGCAGAGTTTAGTGTCCATACTACTCTAGTCAGATGGGGAACCACCCCACTAGCAGGACATCTTGATGCTCTTTCTTCAGTTGCTTTGCAAGTCGGATCACAAGCTCTCTTCCAGGGAGGAGATGGTAGGCCTCGCATTCATATGAGTGATACACATTTGTCCTTTCCAGGCAGCAAGTTATTGTCATAGCCCTTGTCCCCATATAGGGGATCCATTGATAGTCCAATCACTCAGTTGCTGTTCTCTTGACCACATGGCTAGGTTGTAGATAAAGGCCCATACATTGGTGAAAATGTAGCAAGATAGGCTGGTAAGTGGTGGCCTGCGTGGCCATCAGTGGTGCATGTAGTTTGACCCTTGGGGCAGAATGTTCATGTTCAGCCTCAGTAAAAATATGGCCATTCACTCACCAGATGGGGGCTGCAGTCCTGTGGACCCTGTCTGCTTTTAGTTTTGTAGGGGCATCAGTGAATCATGCCATACCATCAGTAGGCAAAGGAGGAGCCAAAGCATCTCCTGAGGGTCACTTTCTAGCATTCTAGAAAGCTAGCCATTTATTCATGGAGCCCACTGCTTCCCCGGAATTCTAGCTCAAGCCAACCTTAAATGTATGCTTTCCATTTGATAAGTAGGCTCTGCCAAGCCTGTCCAATTTTACTGGTGAGGTTTGTAGGCAAACACATAAAAATAGGCAGTTCCTATTGCAGCAATCACATGTGGCATTCTGGCCATAAAACATTCTCTTTTTATCAATGCCCAATAGTGAGCAAGGAGCTGCCATTCAAAAAGGGAGTATATCTGTTGGCTATATCAGGAAACTTATAAAGTGCTACGGCAGCCCAATGGCAGTTTTCTGTTGCCCCAGATGACAATCAGTATGCACACAAGTTGCAGACTTCTGTAATTCCAATGGGCTAGCAGGCTCTGAAAGTTGCAAAGGCAGTGCCTGGGCCACAACTTTTTGAATGGTTTCTCAGTCCTGCTATTTCAAAGCCTTTCAAAGTTGATGGCTTTGTTGGCCACTTTGATTATGATGACCAAAAGAACACTAAGGTGGGGTACACCATCTTCAGTACCCAGAGGCCTCTTGGCTGCTGGCCTCCATTTTACTTAGCTGGTGCCACCAAAGCCAATAGTATTTTCTTAACTGTATCTGAATATTCATTTGGCTTCCCATCTAACTGGCCCTGGCATTCATCCTGTAATAGTCTTAATGTTCTAGAGGTCTTTTTGAGCAGCCCAACTGTAGTGTTACTTTGTGACATGGTGGTTTGTAATATTTTTGTTTATAGCAATTCCTCAGTTAACCAGGTAATGTGCTACTCTCTACTTAGTATGGAATACCACTTTAGCTGAATAACTCATTTGGACTTGGGTAGTTTAGGTGGCAGGCAGGAGTAGATATGCCCCACTGTTATGGCATGAATTTTTAGCTAAGAGGGGTCATACCTCTGCAGGTGGCAGTGATATTCTGCACCACAAATCGTCAAAATGTCAATGTCTATAATGCACTGAGTGGGGGAACCATGCTCATCGGTACCTGAAATGCCCCAAAAGGCCTGACCCATAAGCACATAAGCAACATGGGTGACCTCATTTGTCTCAAAACCTCCTAATGTCATCAGCTTAATGTTTTTCTCTTTTCCCTTTAATCCTGACAGGAGTAAAGGCCACTGGCCTCCAGTGGGGACCCTATTTCTAACTGCACTATTTGGCCCTATCACTAATTACACCATTAAATTTGAGACATTTGGGCCTGCAATGTCCCTTTGTCAAACAAACACACCAACCAAGCTGCCTAAGACTTGCCTGGCTTTTCCTCATATTTGTCCTTTAGATCACAAGTCTCCGTTTCTGTGAAGGCTCAAATTGCACATGTTGGTTCCCTCTCAAATGCCTCAGGGTCCTTATGAGCATTTACTTTTTGAGCCCTCTGGTCCCAGGAATGAGTGATCACATACATGTCTGACAACCAGAGAACTGTATTCTGTGCTTCCCCGTTTCCATATTCCTTTTTCTTTGCCTCAATCCATGCAGCCAATTCGTTCACATCCATTGGGAGTGACCTACGTCCCATTTATTGAGCTTCCTTTCCCATAACTCATCCAGCTGCATGTCTGGTCCCTACATCCCTAGGCTGACATTTTTTCTTGGGTCAGGTCCTGGGGGTTATTGTCTTTTCAGCTTCACCAGGAAGCCATGATTCTATCAAGGAGGACACTGCTCACTGCACCATCTTTGTGAAGCAAGGTCACTGTGCACTAGGTACTAACTTCTCTAAGTCTAGTGAGACAGAACACACCCACACATAACAAGTTAATGAAGCTGATTGGACTTATTACAAACAGATTGGCAGCAAGGAACAACAGAGGCCTAGGATTCAGAGCCAGCCAGTCTTCCAAGGCCAAGGGAGTCTGCCATGGTGGATGGTATTTCCTCAGTGTATGTCTCACTTGCACCAGAGCTGAGGAACCCCAGAAACCATCCCAGCCCAGGTTTTATAACAGAGGGCAACATGCCATCCTGGGCTAACATGCAAAAGCAGACCCTTTTTCTAGTAGGGACTGGAACAGAGCCTAAATTGTTCTGGCCAGTTCTTCTCTATTTTAGGATATTGCATTCCCAGCACATTCCATAGTTACTCTTGACATCTACAAATGTGAAAAAGGAGAAAACTGGGTCCGTTCAAGATCACTTAGAGAAATGTCCAGCACCACCCTTTTGCATGGAGCTGCCAGAGCTGGTTTCTGTGGCTTGCTGTGCTCATATCTTAACTATACAGTAGATTTGAGTAATTCAGTGATTTAAAATACATTTCAGCATATCGATTCCTGGTGACTGGAATTACATCTTATTAGTTCTGCTATATTTTGACATACCTGTATCTCCCTCAGAAACCCTGATATTTAATCCAAATAACTTACTTTTTTTTTATCTCCAAGAAGTTATATACCGAGAAAGATAATTTAGATAACAAGAGGTTTTGACATGAAAACTTGAAGATATGTTTTCATTTCCATAGAAGGTCATGATGTAATAATGCCTTTGCTCTTCTTTCTATAATCTGTAGTTTCAAAAATAGACATTGTGTAGATTTGTCTGAGAATTAACTAGGTTGGTTCTACACCTTCAGCAGTTTTTTAAACTGTTTATGAAGAAAGTGTACGTATACATAAACAAATTTATTTAGGCAACTTGTTGGTATTTTATCAGTGGTAAAAACTTTGGAATTTATATTATACTATACCTTATGTAGTATATTATACATATTTATAGTACATATATATTATTGTATTATATTCTAGATATAATTTATTTACTATAATTATATTATGCTATGTACATTAATATTAAAGTACAAGTTTGTTAAGAACTGTAACTACTAAGTAGCTTATATTCTACAGATAATGGATTATTTAATTTTCCTTTCATCATATGTATGTAGCCAGCAATTTTGGTACAACTTTCTGGTAGTCCTTGCTGACAATATGTGCTCTAGAAAGTATGCAAAAAATGAAAGACTTGTGCAATGTCTTTGAGGAATTTAAGTGTTTTCCAGTTTTCTCAAAGTCATGGCAAGGGATGTTTCAGAATGAAAGATTACCTTGTATGTGTGTATATTTATATTTAAACAGTATAATTAAAAATATATGTATGTTGCCTTCTGGACTAGCAATCTCTATATTGGAAAATATTTTTTGACCTTTTATAAAGCAATTGACATATTATGATGTATGATTTAGTTTGAAATAATGCAAAGGTCATTTTCTTGTTCATATTTGACGGAAGAGAGGTGGAGTTTTAGAAACAAAGGCATTTTGTGGCATTAAGCAGAAAATCAATATAGTAATTATTCTTTTAGCCAGAATGTTTACCTTATATTTCCTAATTCTTGCTCAGTTCCTTTGTGCACTAAGGGAATACAATCACAAACTGAAGATGTGTGGTTCATCTGTAAGGAAATGTGGTCTTGTGGTTGTTGATAAATAAGAAAGAAAAAATAACTCAGAGGTACTTATCTGCTAGATTGGAACAATTATTATCGGGAGTACAATGGAAGGGAAGATTGTGGAATTGGGATATTAATGATGTACCCCATTGGGTTTATTTTGATTAAATCCCAAAGTACTTGATAATTGTTGATCCTTGACTTGTTTGTAATTTAGAAACAATAATGACAGATGAAGAATGCTTATGAGTAACTGATTAAGCAGTGATGGCAGTTGCCAAATCCAGTGAATGTCAAATACGATTCTGTTCTGCTCCATCAAGGGCCTATCATGGATGAAACAAAGTGTTTATTCTGGGAATAGACAATTTGAGTCACCAGTTGACTGATGTAAGATTGTCTGCTCACTTTGGCAAATAGGAAAGTTGAATATTACAATTTATTATTGATGTTCTTGTTGCAGGAGAACTGTGATCCTCATTGTGTTTTTCTTTAATCAATCTTGGCCCAGTGGCTTGTGCTTTCAGGCACTAAACAAATATTTGTTAAATAAAATAATGAATGTTTAAGGAAATCAATTTCTATTTCCTGAGAACTTATCAAGAGGATCTAAGGTAAAGAGAAGACAGATATTTTGGGAAGATGTGAATACAGGAAAATAACCTGGGTATAATGAGATGACAAAAAATAGTATGCAGTTTTATGAGTGTATCCTTGAGTTCTTGAATTTATTAACAGATGAAAACACAGGTTTTTTGTTGTTGTTGTTTTACTGGTATAGTCTGTCCTACAGCAGACATATGCTTACATGTTTTAGAGAACTAGTGGTAAGAAAAGATGGGTTTGCATAATGGTAAAGTGATCAATTCAACAAGAAGAGCTAACTATCCTAAATATATATGCACCCAATACAGGAGCACCCAGATTCATAAAGCAAGTCCTTAGTGACCTACAAAGAGACTTAGACTCCCACACAATAATAATGGGAGACTTTAACACCCCACTGTCAACATTAGACAGATCAACAAGACAGAAAGTTAACAAGGATACCCAGGAATTGAATTCAGCTCTGCACCAAGCGGACCTAATAGACATCTACAGAACTCTCCACCCCAAATCAACAGAATATACATTCTTTTCAGCACCACACCTACTCCAAAATTGACCACATAGTTGGAAGTAAAGCACTCCTCAGCAAATGTAAAAGAACAGCAATTATAACAAACTGTCTCTCCGACCACAGTGCAATCAAACTAGAACTCAGGATTAAGAAACGCACTCAAAACTGCTCAACTACATGGAAACTGAACAACCTGCTCCTGAATGACTACTGGGTAAATGATGAAATGAAGGCAGAAATAAAGATGTTCTTTGAAAGCAATGAGAACAAAGACACAACATACCAGAATCTCTGGGTCACATTCAAAGCAGTGTGTAGAGGGAAATTTATAGCACTAAATGCACTAAATGCTCACAAGAGAAAGCAGGAAAGATCCAAAACTGACACCCTAACATCACAATTAAAAGAACTAGAGAAGCAAGAGCAAACATATTCAAAAGCTAGCAGAAGGCAAGAAATAATTAAGATCAGAGCAGAACTGAAGGAAATAGAGACACAAAAAACCCTTCAAAAAATTAATGAATCCAGGAGCTGGTTTTTTGAAAAGATCAACAAAATTGATAGACCACTAGCAAGACTAATAAAGAAGAAAAGAGAGAAGAATCAAATAGACGCAATAAAAAATGATAAAGGGGATATCACCACCGATCCCACAGAAATACAAACTACCATCAGAGAATACTATAAACACCTCTACGCAAATAAACTAGAAAGGCTAGAAGAAATGGATAAATTCCTCGACACATACATCCTCCCAAGACTAAACCAGGAAGAAGTTGAATCTCTGAATAGACCAATAACAGGCTCTGAAATTGAGGCAATAATCAATAGCTTACCCACCAAAAAAAGTCCAGGACCAGATGGATTCACAGCTGAATTCTACCAGAGGTACAAAGAGGAGCTGGTACCATTCCTTCCGAAACTATTCCAATCAATAGAAAAAGAGGGAATCCTCCCTAACTCATTTTATGAGGACAGCATCATCCTGATACCAAAGCCTGGCAGAGACACAACCAAAAAAGAGAATCTTAGACCAATATCCTTGATGGACATCGATGCAAAAATCCTCAATAAAATACTGGCAAACCAAATCCAGCAGCACATCAAAAAGCTTATCCACCATGATCAAGTGGGCTTCATCCCTGGGATGCAAGGCTGGTTCAACATACGCAAATCGATAAATGTAATCCAGCATATAAACAGAACCAAAGACAAAAACCACATGATTATCTCAATAGATGCAGAAAAGGCCTTTGACAACATTCAACAACCCTTCATGCTAAAAACTCTCAATAAAGTAAGTATCGATGGGATGCATCTCAAAATAATAAGACCTATCTATGACAAACCCACAGCCAATATCATACGAAGTCGAATGGGCAAAAACTGGAAGCATTCCCTTTGAAAATGGGCACAAGACAGGGGTGCCCTCTCTCACCACTCCTATTCAACATAGTGTTGGAAGTTCTGGCCAGGGCAATCAGGCAGGAGAAGGAAATAAAGGGTATTCAATTAGGGAAAGAGGAAGTCAAATTGTCCCTGTTTGCAGATGACATGATCGTATATCTAGAAAACCCCATCATCTCAGCCCAAAATCTCCTCAAGCTGATAAGCAACTTCAGCAAAGTCTCGGGATACAAAATCAATGTACAGAAATCACAAGCATTCTTATACACCAATAACAGACAAACAGAGAGCCAAATCATGAGTGAACTCCCATTCACAATTGCTTCAAAGAGAATAAAATACCTAGGAATCCAACTTACAAGGGATGTGAAGGACCTCTTCAAGGAGAACTACAAACCGCGGTTCAATGAAATAAAAGAGGATACAAACAAATGGAAGAACATTCCATGCTCATGGGTAGGAAGAATCAATATCGTGAAAATGGCCATACTGCCCAAGGTAATTTATAGTTTCAATGTCATCCCCATCAAGCTACCAATGACTTTCTTCACAGAATTGGAAAAAACTACTTTAAAGTTCATATGGAACCAAAAAAGAGCCCGCATCACCAAGTCAATCCTAAGCAAAAGAACAAAGCTGGAGGCATCACCCTACCTGACTTCAAAGTATACTACAAGGCTACAGTAACCAAAACAGCATGGTACTGGTACAAAAACAGAGATACAGACCAATGGAACAGAACAGAGCCCTGAGAAATAATGCCACATATCTACAACTATCTGATCTTTGACAAACCTGACAAAAACAAGCAATGGAGAAAGGATTCCCTATTTAATAAATGGTGCTGGGAAAACTGGCTAGCCATATGTAGAAAGCTGAAACTGGATCCCTTCCTTACACTTTATACAAAAATTAAGTCAAGATGGATTACAGACTTAAATGTTAGACCTAAAACCATAAAAACCCTAGAAGAAAACGTAGGCAATACCATTCAGGACATAGGCATGGGCAAGGACTTCATGTCTAAAACACCAAAAGCAATGGCAACAAAACCCAAAATTGACAAATGGGATCTAATTAAACTAAAGAGCTTCTGCACAGCAAAAGAAACTACCATCAGAGTGAAAAGGCAACCTACAGAATGGGAGAAAATTTTTGCAACCTACTCATCTGACAAAGGGCTAATATCCAGAATGCACAGTGAACTCAAACAAATTTACAGGAAAAAAACAAACAACCCCATCAACAAGCGGGCAAAGGATATGAACAGACACTTCTCAAAAGAAGACATTTATGCAGCCAAAAAACACATGAAAAAATGCTCATCATCACTGGCCATCAGAGAAATGCAAATCAAAACCACAATGAGATACCATCTCACACCGGTTAGAATGGCAATCATTAAAATGTCAGGAAACAACAGGTGCTGGAGAGGATGTGGAGAAATAGGAACACTTTTACACTGTTGGTGGGACGGTAAACTAGTTCAACCATTGTGGAAGTCAGTGTGGCGATTCCTCAGGGATCTAAAAGTAGAAATATCATTTGACCCAGCCATCCCATTACTGGGTATACACCCAAAGGATTATAAATCATGCTGCTATAAAGACACATGCACATGTATGTTTATTGCGGCACTATTCACAATAGCAAAGACTTGGAACCAACCTAAATGTCCAACAACGATAGACTGGATTAAGAAAAGGTGGCAAATATACACCATGGAATACTATGCAGCCATAAAAAATGATAAGTTCATGTCCTTTATAGGGACATGGATGAAACTGGAAACCATCATTCTTAGCAGACTGTCGCAAGGACAAAAAACCACACACTGCATGTTCTCACTCATAGATGGGAATTGAACAATGAGAACACATGGACATAGGAAGGGGAACATCACACACCAGGGCCTGTTGTGGGGTGGGGGCTGGGGGGAGGGATAGCATTAGGAGATATACCTAATGCTAAATGACGAGTTAATGGGTGCAGCACACCAACATGGCACATGTATACATATGTAACAAACCTGCACGTTGTGCACATGTACCGTAAAACTTAAAGTATAATAATAAAATTTAAGAAAAAAAGAAAAGAAAAGATGGGTTTGTATTCTAGCTCTACTTTGCCCTTTCTGTGGGACACAGAGCCAGTCCTTACTATTCATAAAGAATAGTAAAATCACACAGCTCATGTTGAGGGACTCTTCAAACAGATTACTTCTGTGAGGTGTCATGCATATACCTAGCATACAGTCTCAAAGCATCCTCTTAGCCGCAGAACTATAGAGCCCAGGCAAGGGACTTCTTGTAATATAGACATTTAGGGGGATGTCAAGTCATGATTCTTTTCTCAGAAGTAAAAGTCTCTATAAAGAGTCATGTAATCAAGGAAATGTATTCTGGTAACTTTTATTTATTTTTTGAGATGGAGTCTTGCTCTGCCACCCAGGCTGTAGTGCAGTAGTGAGACTTCGGCTCACTGCAACTTCCACCTCCTGGGTTCAAGCGATTCTCCTGCCTCAGCCTCCCGAGTAGCTGGGATTACAGGTGCATGCCACCATGCCCTGCTAATTTATTGTATTTTTAGTAGAGATGAGGTTTCACCATGTTGTCCAGGCTGGTCTCAAACTCCTGATCTCAAGTGATCCTCCCACCTCAGCCTCCCAAAATGCTGGGATTACAGGCACAAGCCACCATGCCTGACCAAATTTATTTTTCATAAAACAATAACCAGTGGGCAGCATCACCCCATGTATGCTCCTCTGAAAGTAAAATTAAAGATAGTTCAATTTTAGAGAACTGAGTTATACACTGTATATATTGTATATAAGGAATAATTTACATATAATTGGCATTTTAATATTTGCTTTCTCATTTATTCTAGTTCATATTCAGTAGATATGTACACAAGCAGTACTATACTGGTTGCTTCTGACGGTACAGTGTGTGTTGCTGGTGCAGGTACCATACCAGTTGTTAATTTAAAAAATTTTTACACACTTGGGAGTACAAGTACAGGTTTCTTACATGCATATATTGCATAGTGGTGAAGTCTGGGCTTTTAGTGTACTCATCACTCAAATAATGAACCTTGTACCCAACAGATAGTCCTTCTACATTCACCCACTTCTTACTCTCCCATGTTTTATGGTCTCCAAGTGCCCATTATTACATTCTGTATGTCCATGTGTACCCATTGTTTGGCTCCCACTTATAAGTGAGACCATGTGGTATTTGATTTCTGTTTCTGAGTGGTTTCACTTAGGATAATGGCCACCAGTTCCATCTATGTTGCTGCAAAGGGCATGATCTCATTCTTTTTTATGTCTTAGTAGTATTTCATATATATATATTTTATATATAGTATATATATAGTATTTCATATATATATTTTATATATATATAAAATATATACTCTTAATGAATTGATCCCTTTATCATTATCCAATGACATTCTTTGTCTTTTTCTTTACTGTTCTTGTTTAAAGTCTATTTTATCTGGTACAAGTATATCTACTCCTTCTTGCTTTTGGTTTTCATTTGCATGGAATACATTTTTCTACTTCTTTACTTTCAATCTATATGTTTCTGTGGGTCAGGTGATTTTTCTTGTAGGCAGCACATAGTTGGATCATGGCTTTTTGAAATACATTCTGCCTAACTGTATCTCTTAAGTGGAGCATTTAGTCCATGTACATTCACAGTTAATATTGATATGTGAGACTTTGTTCCTGTTACATTGTTGATTGTTTTCATGTTTTATACATTATTTGTTTTTTTCTTTTTCTCTGTCTTTTTGTCTTTGTGCTTTGATGAAATTCTAACATGTTGCCATTTGATTTCTTTGTCTTCTTTCTTTGTGTGATTCTTTTATATGAACTGTGCATTTTGTATTTCAATGTGTTTTGTGATAGTGAATATTGAACTGTGTTTCCATGGTAAAGACCCCTTTGAACATTTCCTATAGGCCTGGCCTAGTGGTGACAAATTCTCTCTGCATTTGTTTGTCCAGGAGATACTTTATTTCTCTTTCATTTATCAACCTTGTTCTGAAAGGATACATAATTATTGGCTGGCAGTTTTTGTTTGTTTGTTTGCTTCTTCCTTTCAACACTATGAATATGCCATCCCATTCTCCTCTGGCCTGTAAAGTTTCTGCTGAAAAGTCTGCTGTTAATCTGATGGATGACCACATGTTTATAGGTGACTACGTGTTTCTCTCTTGGTATTTTTAAAATTATTTCACTTTGACTTTAGACATTCTAAATATAATATGCTGTGGTGAAGTCCTTTTTGCAGTGTATTTTCCTGGGGCTCACTGGGGCTTTTTCTATTGGTGTCTAACTTTCTTGATAGACTTGGGAAGTTTTCATCAATTATTTTCTTACATGTGTTTTCTAAAATTTTTGATCTCTTTTTCCCCTCAGGAATACCAATAATTTGTAAGTTTGGTCACTTTATTAGTCCCAGATGGCTCAAATACTTTGTTTATTCTTTTTAATTATTTTCTTATTTTTGTGTGACTACATTATTTCAGAAGATCTGTCTTTAAGTTCTGAGATTTTTTCTTCTGCTTGGTCTAGACTACTATGGAAGCTTTCAAATGTATTTTGTGTTTCCCTCAATAAACTTTTTATTTCCAGAACTTTTGCTTCATTTGCTAAAGATATTCATCTCTTTGGTAAATATCTCATTACCATATACTTAATTGATTTTCTCATTTCTTTGTGTTGATTTTCAGATTTCTCTTGCATCTCATTGAGCTTCTTTAAAAATCAGTATTTTGAATTATTTATCTGGTATTTCAAGGAGTACTTTTGGGTTGGAATCTCTTGCTGGACAGTTGTTGTGGTCCTTTGGTGGCATCATATTTTTCATGTTTCCTGTGTCCTTCCATTGATATCTGTGCATCTGGCATAGCAGTTGCATGTTCCAGTTGTTTGAAATTGCTTCTGTAGGGGAGATTTTTTTTCCTAAGGATATATGTATGTTGTTGATTAAGATATTTGGCTTTGATTTTGAGTGCCTGCATAGTGTGATTTTCATATGACTTCCTCAGTAATACACAGAGTGAGTAATCGCTGTGATATCATCAATGACTTAGGGTACAGTTATTATTTGTGGCTTTGATGAAGCATAACTGAGAACTTGGGATGCAAACTGAACCAGTCTTTGCGATCCAGTGGTAGCAGCAATGGGGTAAATGTGAGTGTTTTTAGGCCCCAGAGCACCTTACACTGACTTCAGTGTTAACAGGTCCTGGAGGGCTGATTTTTGGGTCTCCTGATGGCTTGCTTAGAGTAGATGGAATAGTGAACAAAGCATGTAGGTGGGTTCTTAGGCCCTTGGACAGCTGGAGTGGTGTGGGTGATGGCAGTAGTGGTATTGGAGCAACTACTGGGACCCAGGTGTTTTGTGTTGGTGTTGCTGGAGGCTGCGATGGGTTAGGTTAGCTCTCCGTCTTATACTGCCTATCACAGGGTGGTGAGTATTGTCCTAAGAGTGCATAAGAGAATTTGGTCTTCCCTGTTCCTCCCCAAGCTGGATGGTGGGTCCAGCTGCATCACCTCAAACTTGGCCTGAGGGTGGCACGGAGTCCAGCATTAAATTCAAAATGGTTCCAACCATGGGTTTGTTACCTGGGACAATGGGGCCCCTGCCAGGCAAGCAGGATTATCAAAAAGCTGTGGGAGTGCAGTTCACTCACATCTCAATCTTACAGTATCCCATTACAGGGCAGTGGGTATTGTCCTAGATATGCATAAAATAGGCTGATTTCCCTATCTCTCCTTGGCTGGAGCAGTTACAGCCGAATCAGCCTGAACTCAGACCAAAGGTGAAGCACAGTCTAGTGTTAAACTCTTAAAATGGCACCTTGGGCCTGGGACCAGATAGTAAATGGCACATTCCAAGCAAACAACATGGGCAAGAAGCTGTAAGAGGTGTAGGCTCTCACATCTCAGTCTCAATAGAAGCTTGCAGCAGGGTGGCAGGAACCCTCCCAGAGGTGTGTGGCAGTGCCTGATTTCTTTTTGGAGCATCACAGTGGCCACAGCTGTGTCTGAAGATCCCTATATCCAGGCTTTCAAAATGGCTCCCAACTGAGGCTACATACCAGGCTTGAATGCTTGAGGGATTCTATGTGGGTTCCCTTTTTGGAGCAATGTCTCTGTGCAATCTTTAGGCAACTCTATATGTAAGGTTCAGGGGCCTAGTAAGTCAAGGGTTTCTCCCATAGCCAAGATGGTAAAAGCCCATGTCTCAGGCCTCGGGGTTTCTCTCTGTTTCCCCATGTCCAAGAGCCTCTCTCAGATCTCAGTCAGCTCCTGTGTGGGCAAGCTGCCTCAAACTCTCTCCTTACTTACTTCTTGTGCTTCCCATCTCTTCTCTGGGGAATCCTAATATTATCTCCTAGACATTCTGTTCAAAATATGAGTATCTACTTACTACTCTGGTTTCTCTCCATGTACAAGGCATATGCTACCTGTGTCTAGTCAGCCATCTTGTTGTTAAATATTTGGAATATTATGCCTACTTCCTTCAATCTATTCATTCAACCAGCGTTTATTTGTTAACAACTTACTATGAATAAAGTATAGTTGGCACTAGAATTTTAGTGGTTCCACAAATGAATACCAGACATAGCTGCAGGCCTTACTGAGATAATAATACCATGTGCCAAGATCTTTGCAAAATGTTTATTAGGTTCCTTAACCCTCACAGTCCTTCTGTATGGTACATACAGGGTTTTATTTCAGTTTAATATTGAGAAAACTGAGGCAATAAAATTTAAGAAATTCACCAATGGTAAACCCAGTTTCTGGTTTTCAAAGATTTCCCTATTGCTGAAAATGCCTTCAATAGGTTATTACTATTACTTCCTATATTATAATAACCTGTCAGTAAATGTTGCATTTTGGAAACTTCTGAATTTAAAATCCAGAAGTTTTACTCCAACTAATTTCTTTCTGGATGTCCTGATAATAGAGGTGTAGGTCTGGGTCCTAGGCCAGGCTGGAGAAATGTTCCCACTCCCAAATGATGGTTCAGGACCTTACTTATCTCTTGAACTGAGCTCTCTTCACTGTACTGAGCTGACCCCTTCCCAGAGAGGACCTCTTCCTATTGTCACACAATGGCAGACAGAGGTACCGGGGGAAAATCTTTCCAACTTTAGCTCCAGAACAAAAAAGGTGGGTACCTTTTCTGGTATTCTTAACAAAGACCCTAGGACTTATCCTGTTGTTGTTTAAACTGTCCTGATTTAAATCCGCATGTGTCCATCCTGATTCACATAAACTGAGACTGTTTGCATGGGGGAGGGGCATCCCCTAATAAAAACTGAGGGGTTTTCTAGAAGCCAGATACCTCCATGTAGGCAAACACAAATGAATGCTACACAGGGGAACTTGAGGTTCATCTGTCCCCCAGGCTGGCCTCAGAGGATTCCTCCTTTTCCAGAAGATTTCTGTCTGGAAGTCCTGAGTATCCTCAACACTCAGGAGTGGCTGGATGAGGGAAGTAGAGAGAGAAAACACAATCGAAACCTCTCAAACACAAGCGAAAACCATAGGAAGTAATGATGGAACGCACAGCACTCTGAGTACATGTCAGAGTACTTGAAGCTGATTTGAAGCTTCCTGCCCAGACTCACTCAGGCATTATGACCGTCATGCACAACTGGCTTTTCACTCCCTGAGGATTCCCTCTGGCTGCCAGAACCTTCTCTCCCTAGGTCCCTTGAAGGGCCAGAGAGTTAACATCTTGTGGGAGCAGCCCCCAGGAAGTGATCTCTCCTGTTGGATGGCCCTGAGTCACATGTGCCACAGTAGCTCCCAGCTTTATCCCAGTGGGAACTACTGCCCCTCTACCAGTGCCTCTGTGGTCACCTCCCAAATAAACCAGTTGTACTTGCATCCTTTCCTCAGGGTCCTCAAATGCTCACATAGGCCATGATTGCATAGAATCCAGGCTTATTTTTGCAAAATACTTATCGTTCATTGTCAAATGCTTCTTACATAAGCATGAAAAGTAAGGGAGAAGAAAATGCATGATTTCCCTTCTAGAAGTACACAAACCACACGTGTGCACCCACATACATGCACACATATACACACTTAATAATCACAATTATAATCTCTTTTAAAGTTTGCTTATTTTAAATCGAGATATAAAATTGTATGTATTTGTTGTCTGCAACATGAATTTTTTTTTTTTTTTTTTGAGATGGAGTTTCACTCTTGTTGCCCAGGCTGGAGTGCAATGGCACAATCTTGGCTCTGCTCACTGCAACCTCCACCTCCTGGGTTCAAATGATTCTCCTGCCTCAGCCTCCTGAGTAGCTGGGATTACAGGCATGTGCGAACACATCCAACTAATTTTGTATTTTTTTTTTTTAATAGAGACAGGGTTTCTCCATGTTGGTCAGGCTGGTCTCGAACTCCCGACCTCGGGTGATCTGCCCTCCTCGGCCTCCCAAAGTGCTGGGATTACAGGCATGAGCCACCGAGCGCAGTCACAACATGATGTTTTAAGGTGTATATGCACCGTAGAATTGTTAAATCTAGCTAACTAATAAACATTACTACGTTATGTAGAATCATTTTTTTTTGTGGTGAGAACACTTAACATGCATTCTCTTAGCACTTTTTAAGAAAATAATATATTGTCGTTCACTGTAGTCACAATGCTGTACAACGTATCTCATTTCTCCTATTTAACTATAAATATACATCCTTTGACAAACATACCTTCAATCCCTCCTCCTTCCAAACCACTTCAGCCTCTGGCAAACCACCAATGTACTCTCTGCTACTATGTTACCAACTTTTTTAGATTTCACATTGACATGAGATTATACAGTAATTGTCTTTTTGTATCTGGCATATTTCACTTAACATATTGTCATTCACGTTCATCCATCTTGTTGCAAATGACAGGATTCTGTTCTTTTCATGGCTAAACAGTATTCCATTGTGTATATACACCACATTTTCTTTATCCTTTCATCCACCAATAGATACTTAGGTTGATTTCATATCTTGACTATTGTGAATAGGGCTGTGATAAACATGAGAATGCAGATTTCTTTTCAACATAATGATTTTGTTTCCTTTGGATAGATACCCAGTAGTGGGGTTGCTGGATCATAACGTAGTTTTATTTTTACTTTTTTGAGGAACTCCATATTGTTTTCCATAATGACTATACTTATTTTCATTTCCACCAGCAGTGTTTTAGAGTTCCCTTTTTTCACATTCTTGTCAACTTTTGCTAGTTTTTGTCTTTTTGATGACAGCCATTATAACAGGAGGTAAGGTAATATTTAATTGTGGTTTTGATTTCCATTTCACCAATGATTAGTGATGTTGAGTATTGTTTTACATATGTGTTGGCTATTCATATATCTTCTTTTGAGAAATATCTATTTAGGTCTTCTGTCCATTTTTAAAATTTGGTTATCTATTTTTGTGCTATTGAAGTGTTTGAGTTTCTTAGATATTTTGGATATTAACCTTTTATGAAATGTAGAGTTTCAAACATTTGTTCTCATTCTATAGGTTGTCTCTTCACTCTGCTGATTGTTTTCTTTGCTGTGCAAAGCTTTTTAACTTGATATAATCTCATCTGTCTATTTTTGCTTTTGTTGCCTGTGCTTTTGCGGTAATATCCAGAAAATCATTGCCCAGACCAACATTATAAAGCTTATCCCCTAAGTTTTCTTCTAGCAGTTTCACAGTTTTGGATCTTACATTTAAGTCTTTAATCTATTTTTAGTTAGTTTTTTTTATATGGTGAGAGATAAGGGTTAAATTTTATTTTTCTGCATGTGGATATCCAGTTTTATTTAATGAAGAGTCTGTCCTTTCTCCATTGTGTGTTCTTAGCATGTTTGTTGCAAATCAGTTGGCTGTAAATTCAGTGGCTTATTTCTGGGTTTTCTATTCTGCTCCATTTGTCTATGTATCCACGGGGTGTGCTAGCACCTCCCTCCTGCACGGGGTGTGCTAGCACCTCCCTCCCGCTTTGTCACTCTTATGGTATATTTAATACAGGATATTTTTCTCATTCATGTTTTTTGGGAAGGTGGATTATGTTGGATAAAATTCAAGTTGGGACTGAGTTCTACATCTGGGCTGATCCAAGGCAAGACCAGATTATATGGAGAAGCTGGAGTGGAGGACAGAAAAATTCCTAAGAATGTGAAGATTTAGAAATAAGTAAAAAATTCTTGAAAGACTCCAGTCTTTGAAGACCTTGAAAATTGTGAAGTGAAGTAAAAGCCAAAAACTCCCAGGAGTAAAGCTAGACCCAGTTAATGTATGACTGTAGGTAGAATAAATAGAAAGACTTATCAAAGTTTTTAAATTCATATAATTGTATCAGATGAGAGACATTGAGTCATAGCCATTTTCCCAGGTCACCTTTCCCTTCTCAGACACCCTTGGTTCAGGAGTAGACTCCATAGCCAAGGTTTCCCAGTTCCTTGGAACAAACCATTAAGGTCACAGAGAACAGGTGATTGAAAAAGATGGTGCTACCCACCCTGGATAGTGCTCTTGCTAAACCACACATGGGGGTGGGGAAGGCCAGACAGCCTTGAGATGTTCTCACTGTGATCCTGGCCATGGGCATACAGAGGCACATCACACTGAAAAGAAAGCAAACAACATTTCCAACTTCACACCCAGTGTCAAAGACCAAATCTGGCATAGGGTGACTGAACTGGAGATCTGGAGGGCAGAGGGGGCACACTGAAGGGAAAGGAGAAGGGATCTCCTGAATTTCCATTTCTAGGAAAGAGCCAGCACCCTAATTTAGACCAAAAAAGCAGAAAAAGAAGACTTCAAATCAGGAGAGCCTCCAGAAGGAGGTGCAGGGTTGGGAACCTCCCTCACCAGAGTGAAGGCAAGCCATCTTCCCAGAACAGAGACCCTGTTGAGAAAGACATCTCAGTTCCTGCTCCAGAAGGGACAGACTCTTTGAAAATGTAAATCCAGACAAAGCATCAGGCATCTGTTACCACAGAACTGTCGGAGGAGAACAGGGAAATGTCAGCAAGTTCCCCTGAAACAAAGCAGTGTCAGCCTCTGAGCAGAGCCCAGGCCCTATCCAACCAGACTGGACTTGGGAAAGTAGGAACACCGAAGGTCACATACTCCCAGAAGAGAAAAATTAGAAGTCAGGGTAGGCTAGGACCTGTGTTCTGAATTAGTGGGAGGAAAATCTTTGTTCCTGCTTCTCTAGGTGGGAATAGCTGACATGGCACTCAAGGCTTCTTTTCCTTCCTGAAGAATTATTCTGCACTACTAGCAGTTATTTATAACTTACAAAACTCTATGATAGCTCTCATAAAAATGGAATTCGATAATCAGAAAGATTTGCTTCCGGCAGTATATAGTTTTCACTGCAGCTCAGATTTTTTCCAGTAGTCTCTCCCCTTATAATAAAAACAAAAGAAAACAAACAAACAAACAAACAAAAAACCCTCATAGAACGATGTTTTTATTTGGTCACAAAATAAGGCTACCAGTCTTAGTAGTTTTGACCTGATTATTTAGATAAGAGCAGAAAGACTGTAACTTTCTATACAGGCCTTCTTAAGTTGCCTCCCTGGATGTTTTCATAAGGAGTCTCAGATGGGACTTTTTTATTACTCTATTGCTGTCCTGAAGCTAGGAAGAACAAGCCCAAGAAATTATCTCCACTAGATTTCACCTGCAAATAGTATAAATTTTGGCAAGTTCTTCTCTTTTCAAGGCCCCCAAAATATGCCATTTCCTGGACTCTCTGGGAAGTGACTTGTGTTACCACCTGTAAGTCTGGATCCTGTAAGCGAGATACCAGGCTACTGTTCCTGGGATGGCTTTGTAAGAAAGGGCTCCATAAATTACCTTAGAAGTGGCCTGGTCAAACCTGAAAAAAAGAGCATCATTTTTGAATATGACATTCTGGCAAGTCTTGGGTTGTGTAACCAACTTTCCAATTGTATCCTGAAAAGAAGGAAGACAAATTTTTCATGAATGTATGCAAATAACTGCACTGCTATGAATAGGAAGGAGACTCAATTAGAGTTTCTGGATTTCTGGATGTCAGAGAAAATATATCATTTAAAAGTTTTCCCTTAGCTTACCAGTGCAGGGTCTATTAAATGATTAAATTGTTATGATTTACACACAACACGGTAACAAAGTTTGTATGTTTGTATGTGTGTCTAACAAATAACAAAGGATATTTGAATATATGTCCTATATATATTTACATATATTTTCTTTATATATAAATATATATATTTCCTTTATATATAAATATATATTTATGTATATTTTCTTTATATATAAATATATATTTATATAGAGAATATAGATAGGTAATATATATTAAAATGTCAGCAATATGAAAAATAAAGCTATAGTCATCCATCATCAATTTATTCAATCCCATATAATTAATTCTGGTTCCACTGGGTCTTGGGTTAGCAGTCTCATGAACCTCTCTGCTTTTCAACTGCAGAAAATTCTTACTCAGTACCCCCATATGGTATTAAAGTTGTCTAAGGGATGCCATCAGATATTGGAAGCCTATACTCAAAAATCTAGTTTTCAATGAAACAGTTGTTGGAAATAACTGTTATACCCCTTTTTCACAGGGATCTAAGACAGTCCTTCTTTGAGTACCAGAAAAACTCTAGCCTGTAGCTGATTATAGAACATTTGGGGAAAGATTAGAATAAAACAAAACCTACCTGTAGAAGACAGAGATAGAAAATGGCTGTGGTAAATTTATTACTGATAATTTTCAAAAGTGAAAAGTCTGATGAGAGTTCATGACAAGAATAATGCAACTGACAAGGAAATTAGATTGATGCTGTGGCTTGTGAAATAAAGAAGAAAATAAGGTTAAACCAAAAAAGGTTTTGACAAAATGCCTGTAAGCATAATGATTAAAGATATTTTCCAAGAATACAGTGAATATTTTATTTCGTAAAAATGAATAAACAATTTTTATGAAGAAAAATATTTTGAGATGTAACTATAATAATCTTAAAACAATATATTACCATATCCCAAGAATATACCAAGCCCTTAGTAAGAATATATGTCAAGCATACATGATACTATCAAGAAGTTTAGTAAGTTTGATGTAAATTCTAATTATCTGCATTTTTAACAAAAGACAAAACAAAACCAACTCCATTGTTAATATTGATGTGTATCATCAAATGTAAAGTATTGGCCTAGATGACGCTAGATCCAAATTAAAGAAATGAGGCTATTCACACCTGTAATCCCAGCACTCTGGGAGGCCGAGGCAGGCGGATCACCTGAGGTCAGGAGTTCGAGACCAGCCTGGCCAATATGGCAAAATCCCAACTCTACCAAAAATACAAAAATTAGTCAGGGATGGAGACAGGCACCTGTAATCCCAGCTACTCGGGAGGCTGAGGCATGAGAATCTCTTGAACCCGGGAGGCGGAGGTTGCAGTGAGCCGAGATTGTGCCACTGCATTCCAGCCTAGGGAATAGAATGACACTCTGTCTAAAAATAAATAAATAAATAAATAAATGAGGTTATGGTCATATAAACATTTTAAATAATAACTGAATTTATGACTGATAACACTTTACTGTTGTTGCCTAATGTCATCAGGCCAATCACATGTATATACCTATATATAAACATAGGAAAACTTGGCAGAACTATTGCTTGCTATTTATTTCAGTGTTTCTGAGGTTATGACATATGGAAAGAAAAGGCATTGACTAATAACTGTAGACTTCCCATAAAACATGCCATCTCTGAAGAAGTCATGCTTTGTTTAATGAAAAGGATACACTCTGATATATATATTGTTAGGCAATTTCCTCATTGTGTGAACATCACAGAGTGTACTTACATAGACCTAAATGGTATGTCCTACCACACACCTACATTGTATAGTATATAGTCTATTGCTCCTAAGCTACAAACCTGGGTGGTATGTTACTGTACTGAGTACTGCAGGCAATTGTAATGCATGGTAAGTATTTGTGTTTCTAAACATATCTAGACATGGAAAAGGTATGGTAAAAGTACAGTATTTTATTTATTTATTTATATTTTATTTTATTTTATTTTATTTTGAGACAGAGTCTCACTCTGTCACCCAGGCTGGAGTGCAGTGGCACAATCTCAGCTAACTGCAGCCTCCACCTCCCAGGTTCGAGTGATTCTCCTGCCTCAGCCTTCTGAGTAGCTGGGATTACAGGTGCCCACCACCACACTTGGCTAAGTTTTGTATTTTTAGTAGAGACGGGGTTTCACCATGTTGGCAAGGCTGGTCTCGAACTCCTGACCTTAAGTGATCTAGTCGCCTCAGCCTCCCAAAGCACTGGGATTACAGGCATGAGCCACTGCGCCCAGCCAAAAGTACAGTATTTTAACCTTATGGAACCACTGTCAAATATGTGTTTCATAATTGACTGAAACGTCATTATGGAGTGCATGACTATAGTTATTTTAATGATAAAAATTTAACAATTGGAAGGCTGAGCAGTGTGTTTATTTGACAATTCTTTCAATGAAACTCATAAATCATAATATATCAAACACACTAATTATTCCTAGAGCTTTTCTTTTTATAAGGTGAAAAAATTAAACTGTATGATGTTTCAAGGTACGGTTGGGAAATCTCAAAGACAGTTTTAGGTGTAAGAGATATTCTGAAAATTTTATTTTATTCCATTTTATATTAAAGATTTGAACTGGAAAGCCAAAATCAAATTTGTTAGGAAACTTGAAAATTTAGCTCAGAACCATAAATACCAAATAAATGATAATTGACAACACATTTGAAAGGGAAAATAAAGTACTTCAAAATAGAAGGTAATGTAATCATAAATAATCTTAGCTCTTTCATAATTGAAGAGCCAATTATTCTGTAATAGATCCAAAGATGCTTCTTTGCAGCATATAAAAATTAGAGAAGGCTGGGCACGGTGGCTCACGCCTGTAATCCCAACACTTTGGGAGGGCTGAGGCAGGCGGATCACGAGGTCAGGAGTTCAAGACCAGCCTGGCCAACATAGTGAAACCCTGTCTCTACTAAAGATACAAAAAAATTAGCCAGGCATTGTGGCAGGCACCTGTAATCCCAGCTACTCAGGAGGCTGAGGCAGGGGAATCCCTTGCACCCGAGAGGTGGAGGTTGCAGTGAGCAGAGATCGTGCCACTGCACTCCAGCCTGGGCAAGAGTGTGAGACTCCGGCTCAAAAATAAATAAATAAATAAATAAATAAAAAATAAATGGAGGAAAAAGCATATAAACCTAAAATGATGCTTAACAATTAATGTCTTAGTATTCTAGTCTTACTAAGAAGTAATAAGCATCTAATGATTTTCAATTAATTTAATATTTGTTCAAGGTTTTAAGTTACTTAAAGGCTTTAGAAATTATGTTCAAGCTAACGTACTATAAAATATAGTTACTATTGAAATAGTTTGTCAAAATTAATTTAGTTAAAAACAAACTTACATGTTTTATGATCTTAAAACATTAGGAATTATTTAACTTATTTTTATCAGAAAGCCTATATACATTTAGAAAAGCATACCCATGAACCTGTCTCAAAAAATTAAAAATGGAACTACCACATAATCCAGCACTCTCACTACTGGGTGTGAATTCAGTATGGCAAAGTGAGGTCACTCCCACATTTATTGAATCAGTATTTACAATAGCCAAGATACATAATCAACCCAAGTGCCCAAAAATGAATGAATGGAGAAAGAAAATGTGGTATATATACACAACTGAATTCTATTTAGCCATAAAACTCATAAAATCTTGTCATTTGAGGCAAACATGGATGGACTTGCAAAATATTATCTTAAATAAGCCAGATGAAGAAAGACAAATGTCTCATGATCTCACTCATATGTGGAATCCAGAAAAAGAAAAAAAAAGTTAATATCCTAGAAGCATAGAATGGAACAGTGGTTTCCAGAGACCGAAGAGAGGAGGGAAGAGGAGAGCATGGGGAGAGTTTAGTCCACAGGCACAAAGTTACAATTAGATACGAGGAATAATTTCTGGTGTTATTCTGCATAGTAGAGTGATGATGGGTTAACTGTAAGGTATTGTATATTACCAAGTAGCTACAAGACAGGCTTCTGAATGTCTTCAACACAAAGAAATGATAAATGTGTGAGGAGATGGTCATGCTAAATACCTTGAATTGATCATTATGCAACATATATATGTATCAAAATATCAACTTGAACTCCATAAATACACAAAATTGTAATGTATCAATTTTTTTAAAAAATGTGTTCAAGAAGTGGTTCCCAAACTAAAGAAAAAAAATAGGATGGTAAAAAAAGCTTGTATTATATTTGACACTGATAGAACTGAGAAGATAACGGTAGTTTTATTGAACCAAATTTGTTAACGAATTTGCCAAAGATTTACTTAAATTACGTGAATTTGGATTTTTAAAAAGTTTCTGAATTGGTTTCTTTAAAATACTTGCTTAATTCAGCACATTTAAAGCATTAGAAATCAAACTTTTTTATTTTCTTGGGAATTTAAAAATATTCCATTTACACAAGTCCTTATGACTCCTATAGAATGAGAATGAGGACACGCTGAAGGGTGTGCTATAATTTATGTATGTTTTCCGTTGATACACGGATTGCTTTCCTATATTATATTCAGGTAGCACTCAGGTCACTCTCTAGGCATGAGATCAGTTTGATTCAAAGGTAAGTACAAGAAAATTGAGCCCTGGCTAGGGCTAGATCTCTGAATCTCACGCTCATCACAAGGCAGTTCTTGTTTTAAGTGATTCATGAAAAGAGGTACTTTTTTAAAAACCTGAAAACAGTTGCTTTTCTGAATTTTAGGAAAAGTAGTCAGAATCCACGGATTCAGAGCTAAGTGATCTTTGGGTGAGTTGAAGTCTTTGGAAGGGATTGCTTTGGTAGATACAGTAATGGCTGGGGTAAAGATTGAAAGAAGATTTTTAATAACTGCGGTGTTCATCTGTCTGAGAGGAAACTTTGAACTGAACCACGTCTCCTTTCCCACAGAGCCTCTGCCTAATACCTGGCTTTATGGCATAATTGCAAGCCAAAGAGAAAAATATCCAAAAATAGTGCAGTCAGAAAAGCCCCTAAAGCCCCCTGTTATGCCACTGCCAGTCTTCACGTCTAGAGCAGTGGGTAAGGCAGTGTGTCTCATGCTGGCTTCATCCAATAGCTTCATATTGTCTTAGCTCCTGAATGCTGGACCTAGCAAAGAACATTGATTCTAGTAACTAAGTTTCTGCTTAATTCTGGTCTCCGAAGTCTTTCCTGTAGCTTACTTAAGTAATGTTGATGCTCATCTTCTGTGTTTGAGGCCCTACCATGGTTCCCTGTCTTCTGCTCCAAATCTCTGTGAACTGTGTATCTGATTCATCCCATTTCTAATTCCTTTAAAATCTCAACTTCTTGTTTTTTTTTTTTCATTTTTTAAATTATACTTGAAGTTCTAGGGTACATGTGCACAATGTGCAGGTTTGTTACATACGTATACATGTGCCATGTTGGTGTGCTGTACCCATTAACTCGTCATTTACATTAGGTATATCTCCTAATGCTCGACTTTTTTTTATAAACAACAATCATAATGATTGGCTCACCATTATGTTTTCAGGTTTTTCTAATGTGTTGTGCTAACAAGTGGTGGTGCTGGGATTCCAGAGTCTGGATTGTTATTATTTTAAGAGACAGGATCTCTGTCACCAGGTTGGAGTGCAGTGGCGTGATCATGGCTCACTGCAGCCTCAACTTCCTGGGCTCAAGGGATCTTCCCACCTCAGCCTCCTGAGTAGCTGAGACTACAGGTGCATACCACCACATTCAGCTAATTTTTTTGTAGAGAAGGGTTCTTTCTATATTGGTCAAACTGTTTTAGAATTCCTGGTTTCAAATGATCCTCCTGCCTCAGCCTCTCAAAATACAGGCATTACAGGTGTGAGCCACCATGCACAGTCCCTGGATTCTTAAATACGAAAGTGTGACTATGACATTTTAATTTCTATATTGCCTATTCTATGGGTCAATGAGAGGAAACGCTAGCACATAATGAATTTCTGCTCTGTAGATACTAAATTTTGATAAATCTTTTTCTAGTATATAAATAGTCTTATGACTGTTGACATTTCTATGTTAAAATCCAAAGTATTATGAATTAACTGTGAGAAATTATATAACTTTTAATAATTAAGGAATAAGCTAAAGCATGCATGAACACTAGTCTAGCCAAAAAGTACCATTCAGACAGTCAGAAATTATGTATGCTTTTGCCTTAACCAGTGAGATATGTTATTTTAGTCACTATGTCACTTTATTATTAATAATAATTACCCCAACCAAAATAGATTGGCTAAAAGAATAATGCATTTAATAATTGTATGCAAACAACTTTCCAGATCTCACCTCTAAGTTGTCATAGTGCTGCTTTGCTTTCAAATTGCCATAACAAATTATACTTAATGTAATAACTCAAGTTATTAACAATTAACTTGGTTGCTACCTCTTAATGCAATTGCAAGTTAAATTTTCATTCTGTGGGCAAAGTGAATAAGAGACTAACCACTTATTATACTGATAGGTTAGCGTTTTCATTGTTAAATAGTGGCCCACGGGGCTGTGTAATTGTCAAAATAAACGTAAAACACTGGAAATGAAGGATTGGATTTTTTCCATTAGGGATAAATATTGAAGTTTGTTACAATTTAAATGAATAATCAACTGCTTACATTTCTATACCTATCTTTCCCAAATTGATAATACAGTATATTATTACTGTTACTGAAGGGGGAAAAGTTCCCTTGTACCCCTCGCAGGGCATGCGATGAGAGTGTGGCTCACTTCTTCAGTGCCCCACTGCTCAAACTTCTAAGAGAGCATGCAGACGGGCAGGCTGTGGGGCTCTGACACCACAACAGTGTCTAGGGGTGAATGTTTACAGCTCCTGAAGCCCCAGTGGGCGTGTGTTACAGGGTGCTCTTTTAGTTTGCTGTCTGTAGGCAGCTTGTGTTAACCAGCTCATTTAGACCCTCTACCTTGTCACAAAGACAGAGGCTTTCTGTATCCTTGGTTCCTGCCTTGGTGTACCAGAAGAATCAGATCACACTTGGGCTTAGAGAATGAGTGCAAGGTCTTATTGAGTGGAGGTACCTCCGGGGAAGTCAGAAGGGGATGGAATGGGAAGGTGTCCCCCTGGAGTTGGGGTGCTCAGTGGCCTGGGCTCTCCTCCAACTGCCCTAGCCAAACTCCGCTCATTCTGCTTCTGTCAGCCAGTCGGTGGCCTGCCATGGTGCAGGTGCCTATTGGTGCACTGCTCTCAACAGTGAGCCACCTGTGTGTCTGCCTGCTAGGATCTCCACGGGTTTTAGAGGCACAGGATGGGGGTGTGGCAGGCCAGGGTGTTCTTGGGAAATGCAACATTTGTGTGCTAAGGCAGGAGTGCCTGTTCTCACCTAGGTCCATAGGCACAGGCCCAGGGGGTGGAGCCCTCACCAGGGACCTGCCCTTCCCTTCCCAGCACCTCCCTGCCCCACTTCCGTATCATTACTGTGGGCTTAAAAAATGGGAAGGTGAGAGTCATAAGAGTTTTGAGTCAGCGTTGTTGCATTATAACTCAGAATAGTAAGTGTGGTTCAAAGTTTCTGTATATGAAGGCCAAGCCAATATTGTAAAAACAAGAAAGACTTAGAAATCTATCACTGACTGTTCAGCTCTATCACAGCCACGCATGAAGTCCAAGCTTATAAACAGAACAGGATTTAGGAGAATATTTAAAACCCATTCTTCTGAGGAAGACAAGCCACAGACAGAGACCCATTGGGGCAGAGTGGTCCAGAAGGACTTCGTGACAGGTCATGACAAAATCAGGGATGAGTTCTCTGATGATGAGAGGCATGCTAAGCAAGGGGCACCTCACTGGAAAAAGCAATGAGGCAGGACTGAAGGCAACACTTTCTGGAACAAGCAGAAAGCAAGATATACCTAATTCAGATAATATTAGCTTCATAAAACTGAAAAGATTACAGCTTCTGGAGCCAGCAGGCATTGGTTCGGGCTTCTGTTCTGTGTCTTACTAGATCTGAAGAATTGGGCCAGTGGCCTAACCTAACTGAGCCTCAGTTTTTTCATTTGTAAAATGGCAATATTGATTTGTATGCTTTTTACAGCATTGTTCTTTATATTCAATTTAAACATAGTCCTCAATTATTATTATTATTATTATTATTATTTATTTGTAGAGATTTAGAGGGCACGAGGGCAGTTTTGTTACCTGGGTATATTGCATAGTGGTGAAGTCTGGGCTCTTGGTGTAGCTATCACTTTAATGGTGTACATTTTACACATTAAAGAATTTCTCACTCCTCACCCCCCTCCCAACCTCCCACCCTTCCAAGTCTCCAATGTCTATTATTTTATACCTTATGTCCATGTGTAGACATTATTCACCTACACGGAGAAGAACTAAGACAGTTATACTCAGAATAAATTTGAACACAGAGAGGCTGGAGGCAAGGAAAATAGGAAAGAATTTATGTTGGTGTGAGGGCAGTGAGAATAGATAGGAATAGGCAGCTATATGAGATGTGGCAAAGAACAGGTTGTATCTTGTCTTCAAGTACTATATACCATAGACAACTTACCATTTGTCATGAGCAATTGGAACAGAAAATAAAAGTTCCATTAATAGTATAATGAACAATAAAATGGTCGTGTAAACATACAAATGAATATTCTATAATAGTGAGAATTAAAAAACCCCAGCTATCACTACTTGGAACAACAGGAACATGTATCACAAGCATCATGGTCAATGAAAGAAGCCAGCCACAAAAGAGCATATAATCTACAAGCCATTCCTATGAATTACAACAACAGATATGGCAATACCAGCAAGGATAAAATATTAATGAATGTCTTCTGTGAAAATTCATCAAGCTTACATGTATATTTTTGTACATCTCTCCATTTTTGCTATACTTCAATTGTTAATTTTTCCTTTGGAAAAGCTACCATTTATGGAATTCTTTCTTTATGACAGATGTCCTCACTACCTCAAATACTTGATCTTTTGAATGCCTTCAACAAACTTCAGATTAGGTTCAGGTATTAACCCCATTTTTTATTGAAACAACTGACAACTTAATGATCCTAAACAAAATAATACAGCTGTTTTGCAGCAGAGCTGTGATTCCAGTTTCAGTTTGTGTGACTGTGAATCGTATGTGCTTAGCCACTGTACTGCATTGCTACAGTTCAAAATGCCTCTGAAGAGTACTGCAAAAATTTAGATTAATTGTTAATGCCCTCCAAAGGTGTTCTGTGTTTGAAATAATGGAAGGGTATGAATCAATAAATATCCCCATAGTGAGACCCCTAAGAACGTCAGTAAAACAAAGACCAAGTGTGTTGTCCTTGGCTCTGTGATTGCAAATAGAACCTATAGTTAAGTCTTCAGGATGCCTGAATCCTGGGTTGGAAGATTAAAGGATAATCACCTTAACTAACCCAAGTAAAAACAGAAAAATAATTTTTACTGTGTGAGTTTTCTAAAATCTGATTTTAATAAATATTCCATGAATATCTATGATCTGTATGCATAGCTTTCAGGAAACATACTGTGGGATCTACTTTTAAGATAAATTTATAGCATGTTCACGTGCACTGACAAAATATATTTTTCTTTAGAGATGCACTTTTATTTTGCAAGTTTTCAGCAATTTCATATTATAATGAAACCTTTACTTTCTTGGCTGATGGCATTCTCATTAATCACTGTTTATCCTCCTAACCTATTCTTTTCATATGATTGAAATGAATGCTTGAATGATTAGTTCTTTCCTTCAATTTATATACACAAAGGGAAGAAAAGCTTTGTATATAAACCTT
This sequence comes from Homo sapiens, assembly GCF_000001405.40. Lineage (NCBI taxonomy): Eukaryota > Metazoa > Chordata > Mammalia > Primates > Hominidae > Homo > Homo sapiens. Next base: position 162,442,036 of record NC_000005.10, on the reverse strand, counting down.
TTGCTGATCTTTTCCTTGGCACTGTGGTTAGCACCCCATGAATGTCTTATCAAATACAATTTAGGAAAACAAAAAAGGACAAAGAGAGACCCTCTTGCCCCAAGAGAGTTTTTACTATATTGTCTGTTACAACATGGTAAACGAATGTGGCATCTTTTTATTTCTAAGTCCGATTTATAGGGCTGTCGATGACTAAGAGTGATTTTGCTTTTGAGGACAGATATTCTAAAGACTACACAGTTTAGCATTGTATTTGGTAAATATTTTGAGCCTTGTAATTCTCCCACAGTAGCATGTAAGCTTATAATTCTCTCATTTTTTTAAGGAAAACATTTTTCACTTCATCAGTATTCTTTTCTCTCTACCTTCTTTTGTATGCCAAAAATGTGTTTATATATGTAAATTTGATGTTATGCCTTAAATTTACTGTTATATTTCATAAAGAAGTAGCAATTGGTAATTAGCAAAAACAATACAGTGTTAATGAGTTATAATTTAATTTTGAAAGTCAGCTGTGGGAGATCTAAATTCTATTTTAGCATAAGTCTTTGAACCTCCCCACAAATGCCTAAAAAAAAATTATGCACAAAAAAGGGCAAAGAAAAATTAAGCTGCCTTACATTTTTAGCTGGATATTTGCTAGGTTTAAGGAAAAATAAACTGTATGGATGATTATATTTACCTGAAATTTTCCTCCATTATGCAGATCCATTGTGATACACTTTTCAGGTTAAGCCTACTAGAATTAGAGTAAAGGGACTCAAAAAGATATAAAGCAAGGCCAAATATTTTCTCTTGTATGAAATTTGTTAATTTTTCAAAAAAAATTATTGAACAAGTATTATGTGCCTGGCACCTTCCTAAGTATGGGGATTCACTAGGGAATAGAATAGATGTGCTCCTTCCCCACAAGGATTCATATTTTATTGGTGAAGGAGAGGACCTTAAATAGACCAAGAAATACACAAATATGATCATCTCAGATTGTGAGAGCAGTCGTGTAGAAGACAATAATAAGATAGAGAATGACGGAATGAGAGAGAGGATAACTAAGCTTTTAATTAGATTGTTTCTTTAGGTAATTTGTTCAGAGAAAAGTACTCTGAAGAGGTGACATTTAAAATAAGTGCTGAACATTAAGAGGGAGCAGAATATTCCAGGAAGAGGTGATCAACTGAGGATCAAGATTTCAAAGGAAAGAAAGGCCAGTGTGGATATTCAATAGAACAGAATCTGCTCAGTGGTGCCTTTTAGGGAGTTTGGTTGCATTCTGAATATAATGTAAGCTTTCTGATATAAAAATGATTGGATCTGATTTATGTTTTTGAAAAGGTGCTGGGTGCTGTATGGAGAATATATCTGGTAAGTGGGTGGAATGGTGATAAAACAAAATTAGAAAAAGTTGCAGAAATCATCCTTATGAGATATAAATGAAATAGATGGAATTGCACTCTCTCGTCTCTCTAACATAATTTGGAAAATATTCCAATTAATTGATATTTTGATTAATTGGGAACTTACCTGTATTTTAAATAAAGTTATTTCTCTTTTAGTAAAATCCACAAGAGCAAAATTGTACTTAACATTATACAGCTATATCTCAAAGATATTATGGACCCAGTTCCAGACCACCAGAGTAAACTGAATATTGGAATAAGCAAGTCACATGAACTCTTTGGTTTTCCAGTGCATGTAGAAGAAATGCTTACACTATACTGCAGTCTATTAAGTGTGCAATAGCATTATATATATGTGTGTACATATATTTAAAGTATATACCTTAATTTAAAAGATCTTAATTGTTGAAGATTACTAATTAACATCTGAGCCTTCAGGGAGTTGTAATTGTTTTGCTGTGGATGGTCTTGCCTCCATGAGTGCTCACTGATCAGGGTGGTAGCTGCTGAAGGCTGGGGGCTGTGGCAATTTCTTAAAATAGGACAACAATAAGGCTTGCCACATCTCTTGACTCCTCCTTTCATGAAAGATTTTTCTGTAGTATGCAATGCTGTTTGGTAGCATTTTACCCACAGTATAACTTCTTTCAAAATTGGAGTCACTCCTCTCAAACCATGTCGCTGCTCTATTAACTAAGTTTATGGCATATTCTAATTCCTTTGTTATCTTTTCAACCATATTGACAGCATCTTCACCGGGAGTAGATTCCATCTCAAGAAACCACTTTCTTTGTTCATCCATGAGAAATACCTCTTTATCTATTAAAGTTTTATCACGAGATTGCAATTCCATCACATCTTCAAGCCGCACTTCTAATTTTAGTTCTCCTTCTATTTCCACCACATCTGTAGTGACTTTCCCCCACTAAAGTCTTGAACTCCTTACAGTCATTCATGATGGTTGGTATCAACTTCTTCCAAACTTCTGTTAATGTTGATATTTTGACCTCCTCCCCTGAATCATGAATGTTCTTAATGACATCTAGAATGACGAATCTTTTCCGGAAGGTTTTCAATTTATTTTACCCAGATCCATTACAGAATGTGTTACTTAAATCATAAGACTCAAAAGCCAAAATTACTACTTGATCCATGGGCTGCAGATTGGATGATGTTCTAGGAGCACCGCCCCCTCCCACCCCCCCAAAAAAACACTGTAAATCTTCTTGTACATCTCCATCAGATATCTATGGTGACCCTTTGCATTATCAATCACCAGTAATATTTTGAAACAACTCATTTGTTCTGAGCAGTAGGCCTTGGCAGTAAGCATAAAATATATGGTAGTCCCTGCTGTAAACACATGTGTTATTATTCAGGCTTTGTTGTGCTATTTATAAAGCACAGTCAGAGTAAATTTAGCATAACTCTTGAGGGCCCTAATATTTTCAGAGTGTTATATGAGTAGTATATTGGTTTCAATTTAAAGTCACCAGCCACATTAGCTTCTAACAAGAGAGTTAGCCTGTCCTTAGAAGCTTTGAAGCCAGGAATTGATTTCTCCTCTTTAGCTATAAAAGTCCTAGATGGCATCTTCTTCTAATAGAAGGCAATTTTGTCACCATTTTAAGTCTGTTGTTTAGTGTAGTCACCTTCATCAATTATTTCAGCAAAATATTCTCGGTAATTTGCTGTAGCTTCTTTCTACATCAGTATTTGTTGCTTCATCTTGCACTTTTATGTTATGGAGATGGTACCTTTCCTTAAACCTCTTTAACGAGCCTCTGCTAGCTTCAAATTATTCTTCTCCAGTTTTCTTGCCTCTCTCAGCCTTCATAGAAGTGAAGAGAGTTAGGGTCTTGCTGTAGATTAGCTGTAGTTTTTAAGGAAATGTGTCTGGTTTAATCTTCTATCCAGTCCGCTCAAACTTTCTCTATATCAGATATAAGGCCATTTCACTTTCTTATCATTTGTACGTTCATTGGAGTAGCATCTTTAATTTTCTTCAATAACTTTTCATTGCACTCACAACTTGGCTAACTGTTGGGCTGATGAGGTCTAGCCTTCAGCCTTTCTCAGTTTTCCACCTGCCTTCCTCACTAAGCTTAATCATTTTCTAGCTTTTGATTTAGAGAGCGGGACATGCAACTCTTTCTTTTACTTGAATACTTAAAGGCAATTGTGTGGTTACTAATTGGCCTATTTTCAATATTGTTGTGTCTCAGGGAACAGGGACACCCAAAGAAAGGGATAGAGATGGGAGAACAGCCTTAGTGGAGGAGTCAGAACACACACAATACGTATTTATTAAGTTTGTCTTCTGGCCAAGCATGGTTGCTAATTCCAGTAATCTCAGCTATTCTGGGGGCTGAGGCGGGAGAATGGCTTGAGCCCAGGAGTTTGAGGCTGTAGTACTCTGTGATCATGCCAGTGAATAGCCACTGTATTCCAGCCTGGGCAACATAGTTAAACACCATTTCTAAAAAACAAAAAAAAGAAAAAAGAAAAAAGAGAGAGAGAATTGTTTGCCTTTTTATATGGGCATGGTCAGTTGCACCCTCAATTACAAGGGTAATATCAAAGATCACTGAGCACAGATTATCACAACAGATATAATGGTAATATAAAAGCATGAAATATTGCAAAATTGCAAGAATTACCAAAATGTGAAGCAGAGACACAAAGTCAGCACAAGCTGTTGGGAAAATTGTAATGATAGACTTTCTCAATGCAGGGTCACCACAAACCTTGAATTTGGAAAAAAAAAAAAACGCAGTATCTGTGAAGTACTATAAAGTGAGGTATAATAAACTGAGGTATTCCTGTAATCAGCTGTTGATGGGTCAAAAGTTACCTTAAAATCTTATGTAGTTAAATTGCTTGTATAAATCAGGAAGAAAAAAATCAGTGTTGAAAAAATGTGAGTAGTTTGGGTTAGACCTAAAACCATAAAAACCCTAGAAGAAAACCTAGGCATAACCATTCAGGACATAGGCATGGGCAAGGACTTCATGTCTAAAACACCAAAAGCAATGGCAACAAAAGCCAAAATTGACAAATGGGATCTAATTAAACTAAAGAGCTTCTGCACAGCAGAAGAAACTACCATCAGAGTGAACAGGCAACCTACAGAATGGGAGAAAATTTTTGCAACCTACTCATCTGACAAAGGGCTAATATCCAGAATCTACAATGAACTCAAACAAACTTAGAAGAAAAAAATAAACAACCCCATCAAAAAGTGGGCAAAGGACATGAACAGACACTTCTCAAAAGAAGACATGTATGCAGCCAAAAAACACACGAAAAATGCTCACCATCACTGGCCATCAGAGAAATGCAAATCAAAACCACAATGAGATACCATCTCACACCAGTTAGAATGGCAATCATTAAAAAGTCAGGAAACAACAGTTGGTGGAGAGGATGTGGAGAAATAGGAACACTTTTACACTGTTGGTGGAACCATGAACTAGTTCAACCATTGTGGAAGTCAGTGTGGCGATTCCTCAGGGATCTAGAACTAGAAATACCATTTGACCCAGCCATCCCATTACTGGGTATATACCCAAAGGAGTATAAATCATGCTGCTATAAGGACACATGCACATGTATATTTATTGCGGCATTATTCACAATAGCAAAGACTTGGAACCAACCCAGATGTCCAACAATGATAGACTGGATTAAGAAAATGTGGCACATATACACCATAGAATACTATGCTGCCATAAAAAATGATGAGTTCATGTCCTTTGTAGGGACATGGATGAAATTGGAAATCATCATTCTCAGTAAACTATCGCAAGAACAAAAAACCAAACACCACATCTTCTCACTCATAGGTGGGAATTGAACAATGAGAACACATGGACACAGGAAGGGGAACATCACACTCTGGGGACTGTTGTGGGGTGGGGGGAGGGGGGAGGGATAGCATTAGGAGATATACCTAATGCTAAATGATGAGTTAATGGGTGCAGCACACCAACATGGCACATGTATACATATGTAACTAACCTGCACATTGTGCACATGTACCCTAAAACTTAGAGTATAATAATAATTAAAAAAAAATGTGAGTAGTTTGAATGAGAGTCAATTATGTTAAAGAAGGCCTGTGAGGCCTTGCTATTTGAGCACAGGGATACTTTGAATAAAATGTTTTCTGTTTATCAGATATGCAAATTAAATAACTTTATAATATCCTTTCTGCATCTCATGGTAAATGAAAAAGTCAAATAAAATGCTGATGTTATCTAGTTGATGAAAAATGCCTGTTAAACAAGAATGTTTATTTGTGTATAGTAAGCTCTTATAATGTGCCAGGCCCTGTACTAAGTATATAAGCATGACCTCATGAAATTTGCTGAACAATCTTATGAAAAAAATATTATTTCTGGCCGGACGCAGTGCACTCCAGCCTGGCAACAGAGTGAGACTCTGTCTTAAAAAAAAAAAAGAAAAAAATATATTATTTCTTCATTTTAGGAATGAGGAAGCTAAACTTAGAAATTCAAAATAAGTTGCCTACATTCACATAATGTGCAGGTGGCAGACATAACTTTCATCCCAGACAAAACAATTGAAGACAACAAATTCTATTAAAAGAAAGCTTTAAATTAAAATGATATCAATAATCATCAGTAATTGAATGTCTTTTCTGGAATCCATACCTTGCTATCAAAATGTTGTAATTCTAGTAATTTCTTTTACCAGCTTGAAGGAAAATAAAACAAGAATTGATTGGGATTATAATTCAGTGACTATGAAAGTAATGGGGCTGGCCATGGTGGCTCACACCTGTAATCTTGGCACTTGGGGCGGCTGAGGCAGGAGGATTTCTTGAGCCCAGGAGTTTGAGACCAGCCTGGGCAACATATCAAGACCTCATCTCCAGAAAAAAATAAAAAATAAAAATAAATGAAAAGCAAAAAGAGCCATTAGAAAAGTAAACAGTAAAGATAGATATAAAATATAAGATTTTATTCCAAGTGTTTCCATCTTGGGAAGTAAATTCAAATGTGCTAGAGCTGTACTGCTCAATTTGGTGGCCACCAGCCACATGTGGGCACTGGACACTCGAAATTTAATTAATCCAAATTGATATATACTGAAAGCTTAAAACAAACACTGTATTTCAAAGATTTCATATCAAAAATGCAAATATCTTATTAATAAATGATATTGATTACATATTGAAATGATAATATGTTGATTACTGGACCAGATAAAAGATATTACTAAATTAATTTTACCTACTTTGGTGTACTTTATGTGTCTACTAAAAATTGTTAAATGACATACATTTGCACACATTTGTGGTTGGCATTATGTTGCTGTAGGATGGTGCTTGTCTAGGGGATTTTCTCTGTTCCATCCGGAGCCTGAGTATCTGATAATATCAACATAAAATTGTTTTCTGTTATCTTTTCACAGAAGAGATATTTAATAGATGAGCTTAAAAAGGAAAGAGTTTTATGAGTTCCAAGGGATCGATTCTTATTTCCTGCATTTCCCATGGCACTAAGTAAATTGTGTTTAAGTAATATCATGAATTAAAAGTGAATTTTATAAAAATGAGTTTTATGGTGTTTAAAGGTGAATGAATAGCTTCCATTTTCATTTCAGTGTCCAAGATCACACAGTAAAAAGCATAATTCTAAGGTAAGAAGAGTTTTTAAGCTTAAAATTCATTTTGCTGAGAAGGATAGAATTGAGAGCTTGAAACGCTAAGGGGGTGGGGGAACAAAAAAAAAATGATAGGTTGCCTTTCTCAGAACATTGCCAAATTAGAAATTTGATCTTATTTCTCTTAGCAATTATACGCAAACTTGATGAAACAGGGTTCATTCTACTACGTGACATCTACATGACGTAACACATTATTTATTATTCATTGATCAAATTGACACATTGGTGCCATCACCTTTCTTAGTGAACCTACACATAAGAAAACAAATGAGGTAAGATTTTAGTTCCTGTCTCTGCTTCAGGAACTTGATGTTTAATTTCCAACAGTGAGGATTACTGAGTTTCAGTCACATTAAAATCTAACAGTGCTTATTCAACATGCCTCATTTCTTCTCCAGATCAGTTTAGGGTAGGTTTGCCTTGGAGAACAACATGTGGAGTTTTTGGAAGTGACAAATACACTGTTGGGGAACATTAATCACATGGAATTTAAAAGACATTTGCTTCTGGCCTTAAAGTCTTTGGTCTGGAACAAATGGCAGTCAAAATCATTCAGTCTGAAGTGTTGGAAAATGATCAGAAGTTTGAGTGAGTGACCGAGCATCTGTTGTATGTGAATCTGTCTGTGCATGTCATTAAGAAAAAGAGCCTTTAAAAAATTTCTGTCAAACTTATACTTGAAAACAGTCTACTGTTTCAAAGGGGGGTTCTTAATCAGTGAGAATGAAACACTTGGAAGGAATTAGACAATTCATAAACCTTAAGGAATAAAGTTTAACTTTCCTTTCCCAGTTCCCTTGACTACACAGACCCCAGTTTTAGATCTGTAGTCCATATTTGGTAATATAAATCTCAGAAATAAAAATGACAATTATAGAACTGGTTCATTCCAGCTCCTTTAAACTTTCAGATCATCAGAAAGTTAATCAAATGCTAACCATGAAATAAGAGGTATCCTACTCTTGGAACTTGGTAGAAATAGGTACTTTCAAGGTATTTTATTAGTAAAAAGAACACAGTTGGGGTTGGCACAGAGAAACACACACATTTGATATTTTTTTGTAATTATTCATGCCAAAACCCTGTTGCTATAACCTATTATGACTCAGTCTGATTATGACTCTTACAGAGTGTAAGATAGGATTTTTATTCATTATTAATATGTGGGATATTTAAAAGAAAAGAGAAAGAAATCATAATTTGGAGATTAGCAAAGATTTTTTTCTTTAGACAAAAGTGCTATCTCAAAAATTTTTAAATGAAAAAATTAGACCAGATTGTCTTTATAAATATTATTAAGAAACACCATTAACAATAGCCAAGATTTGAAAACAACCCAAGTGTCCATTAATAGACAAATGGATAAAAAACATGTGGTATGTATACACAACTGAGTACTATTCAGCCATAAAATAATGAGATTCTGGCATTTACAACATGGATGAAACTGGAAGTAATTATGTTAAATGAAATAAGCCAGGCACAGAAAGACAAATTTTTCATGTTCTCACTTATTTCTGGAAGCTGAAAATTAAAACAGTTGAACTCATCAAGATAGAGAGTGGAACAATGGTTACCAGAGGCTGGAAAGGTTAGTGGGGTTGGGGGTAGTAGAGATGGTTAATGGGTACAAAAATATACCTAGGTAGAATGAATAAGATCTAGTATTTGATAGCACAACAGGCTGTCTACAGTCAATGATAATTTATTGTCCATTTAAAAATAACTAAAAGAGTTTAATTGGATTATTTGTAATACAAAGAAAGGATAAATACCTGAGGAGACAGATACCCCCATTTACCCTGATGTTAGTTATTATTATGCAAGCCTGTATCAAAATATATCATGTACCCCATAAATATGAACACTTACTATGCACCCACACAAAAAAACTGTAACATAAAATTTACAATAAGAAAAAAAAGAAATACCATTAGAGAGGAAAAAGGCCAAACTGTTGGCTGAGAGAATATGGTTACAACCCATGCATTACACAAAGGACTTGCATACAGAATATATTTTTAAAATCTTAAAAATAAAAAAACCTAAAAATCAGTAGGAAAAAGGGAAATAATCTCATAGAATTATCTCCCTTCAATTATTTTGGAGATAATAATTCAAAGTAATCCTCCATTTTTTAAATTATTTTGAATAGGGATTTCACAAAAGAGGATATTCAAATGACCAGTAAATATACAGGAAATTATTCAACTATACTAGCTTTCTGATCAGAGAAACGCAAATTACAATGACAAGAAATATCACAACATAGCACTAGAAGAACAAAAATGTAAAAGAAAGAACAAATACCAATTGATTTGATGAATTAGAAAACTCAGATATTCATATATTGCTATTTGGGTAGTAAAATTATAAACTATTTGAGAAATGCTTCTTCAGTACTACTAAATCTAAACATGTGCCTAACATCTAACCCATAAATTTGACTCCTAGGTATATGTTCAATGAGATACACACATATGTGCACCAACTGAAAAGAGTGATCACAACACTAATATTTATAACAACTGGATAACTAAAAGTGATCTAGATATATTACTAAGCAAAATGCGTAAGTAAATGATAGGGTGTAGATCTACTGTGGTATTATACAGCTATGAGAAAAATACACTATTACTAGATAAAGCAACATGATTTAATCTTATAAGAAATAGATGAAGTGGAAAATATCGATCACAAAAGAAAACATAAAATGTGGTTTCATTCATATAAGGGTATGGATTAAATCTGATACACATATGGGAAAAATAGGTATTGGTACAAAAATTCAATTGTAGATGGATTCTGAATCAAATTATAAAATGTTTCTCAAAGGAAACACAGCAGAATATTTTTATTACCTGGAGGTAGACAAATATTTCTTAAATAGTATGCCAACAGTCACTAATTATAAAGCAAAAAATGTAATTTAATTATATTAAATAAAAAAATTCTGCTAATTGAGAGACATAATTAAGAGAGTGAAAAATTATGACACACGGTGGGGGAAAATATGTGCAATACTTGTATGCAAGGAAGGACATACCTGGAATGAATGTCTATATATATATTTTTTTTTTCTATAATCAATAACAAGGAGGTAAACAATCTAATAGAATATCTGGACAGACTTGACAGACATTTCATAAAAGAGGCTACCCAAATAGACAATAAACATATGAAAATGTGTTCAACAGCATTAGTCACCAGGAAATGCAAATAAAACCACAAGGAGATACTGCTATATATTCACCAGAATTGCTAAAATAAAAAAAGACTAGCAACACGAAGCATTGGTGAGAATGTGGAGCAATAGGAATTCTCACTCACTGATGGTGGGAGTGTAAATTAGTAAAATTAATACAACTGCTCTGAAACATTTTCTTAAATGCAGTGTATATGCAGTTTATGACACCACAGTTCTACTCCTAGGTATGTTCCCAGCAGCAATAATTTTTCATAGTGTTGGAAACAACCCTAATATCCATCGAGAGTATTATGTATGTAAATTGTGATAAATACATACAGAAAATATTGTATAATAATGAGAATTAATGAAATGTATCTATACAGTATAGTATGATGAAAATCATAGCACAGTTTGTTGTGTATGATTCCATTAACTCAACATTTCAAATTGGGCAAACTTAACCTATGATGTTAGAAGTCAGATAAGCTATTATTTTTGGGGTAGGCTTCGTGATTAGGAGTGGCATGGAGGGGACAGCTGGGCTGTGGTAATATTTAATTTTTCAATCTAGATACTTGCTTCACAGATGTGTTCTCTTTGTGAAAATTCATCAACCTGTGCACTTTTATTATGGTCCACGTTTTATTATGCATGTCACGCTTCAATAAAAATGTATTTGAAATGTATAAAACATTCAATAATTGAAGGCAACTTTTAAATGTAAGAAACAATGGATCAAATATGAATTTATGTTTCAAAATGCAAAATAAAGAAAATAATGTTCATGATGAGAGAGGCTATGGATGTGTGGGAACATGAGTTACATGGAAATCTGTACCTTCTGCTCAATTTTGCCTAACCTTCTCTAAAAAATAAGGCCTATTACAAATGATAAATGAAGTGATAAATGTGCGAATACAAGTACATTTAAAAATTATGGCTAAGATTAGTGTCACTAGGGTTTTATGACCTCATTTACCCAGAGAAAGTCATTTCTGTAATTATGACTTGCTTGCATTTCCTTCTGTGATTCCATCAATATCAATATTGATTTAATAAGGACTTTATTTGTCCCAGATGCAGATTATAAAATGAGGTTAACTTATACATTCCAGTTGTACACCCTCCCCAAAACAGCAATTGCATGCTGGTCAGTTATATGTGGGAGTCCAGGAGCCTCAGTTCCTCTCAGCATGGGACTCTTAAGGTGGCTTCCTCTTCTTAGGATGGGTGAGGTACAAGGGTGAGCACCCTGAAAGAGAACCTACTAGAAAACATATCACTTTGTTTTAAAATGTACAGAATGTCACTTCTGCATTATTCTACTGCTCAAGGCAGTCATAAAGACCCATCTAGGCTCCAGCAAAGGGGATTTGGTGCCATTTATTGATGGGAGAAGTGGCAGGGTTTTGGAAGAGCCTGTGAGGCAGGTGGTTTACTGTAGTGGTTTTTGGAAAATACCATTTGCCACAGTTTTGCCTGTAAGGCTCCCTACTACCAGCTCCTGCCCATTTCCTCAACTCCTCATCAACTCTGTAGCCATAATGCCCTTCCTTCTGTTTCTATAACTTGTCAAAATCAGTTTGATCTCAGGGCCTTTGTAGATGCTGATGGTAACACTTTTTTCAGAGAGGAAAGAGTAAAATGCTTTGTCCCAGATCTTGGACATTCTTTATGTCATCCGTTATAATTTCTTAATAGATCTTTCAAACTGCAATACAAAATATCGATTCCCTTGTGTAATATCTGCTTTACTGTGAGAAAAACTACCCTGCTTTTTGTATCATTATTATAACACAAAATATTATGTTATGCATTATTATTTCCTCAGTACTTAGAATGGTACCTATATATAGCTGGTATCTAATAAGCATTGTTTTAAAATGAAAACTAAATGACCAATAAATAAGAAATAGTGCTCACCCACAAGAAACTCGAAGCATGATGAACACGGCAGTTCCATAAGTGAACACTTGTAATAAAATTGAATGAGTCCTATAATGTATTTATGAACTGAAATCTAGGAAGTCATAGAGAATAGGTAAAATGATTCTTTAGAGGGTAAGTAGAAGAGCTGGTGAGAATTCCCACAGAAATAAATATTTGGGTCTTCAAGGGCAAATAGGCTGAGATATGAAAACAAATATTTATCATTTTTAGATCCACTGATAAAATCATGATAAATTTTAACATCCCTGTTTTTTCTTAAAAGTATTCATTTATTTCAGTGGTATTCTTTAGAAAAGTCTTAAATACTAACTTTGATCCAGATGTATGTGAGTAAGATGAGGTGTAATGTAATAATAGGCTCAACTAAAACAAGTCTGGTTAATGGTAAGTACATTATTCACATGATAAATCAGATGTAGGCCAACCATAGCCTGAAGACAAAATCATGGTTCCTGCCTGTTTTTAAAAAAGTTTTATTAAGACATAGTCACACCCATTCATTTACACATTGTTTAAAACTGCTTTGTTGCTACAACTACAGAGTTCAGTAGTTGTGGCAAAGACTGGATGGCCCATAAAGTCTGAAATATTTACTATCTGGCACTTTAAGGAAAAGTTGCCAACCCCACTGTCAAATGAATGATTGCATGGGCTTATAGTGAACAGGTTCTGGAGAACTGACTTTCAGTAGAGAAAATACTCCATTTAACCAACTATGCCATTACACCCAGTATCTCCTGAATATCCATCTGTCTTAGTCCTGTTCTGTACACACAATGCCATAGAATGAAAAAGCTTACAGAACAATCTCAGACCAAACTTACGATCTTAGCATCACATAAGATAAACTAATTTAATAATACCAGATACTGTATTTAGCAATCATGAATTAGAATTTTCAATCATGATTCCTCTCTATTGTCAGTTTCTCATCTCATTGCTACCACCCTAGAGCCTAGACCAAGGCACTGTCAATTCTTACTCTTTTAGGACAATACAAAATTTTTGGATCTCCTAACTACCCTTCCAATCCCATCTCCATATAGCAACCCCCAGAATAATCTTTTTAGTACACAAATTTCATCACATTAGGCCTTCAACTAAAGCCTGCCAAAGCTTCCTAAAATTTTGAATAAATCTAATTTTTATTCTCAAGGTTATGAACAATCCAACTAATCTTTAGCCCTCCGTTCCATCTTGACTCCTCTTCCCTACTACTGTCTTGTAACCACATTAACTCTTTCTCCATTCCTTGAAAAACATATGTGTGGGAACTAAAAAAGTCGATCTCATGGAAGTAGAGAGTAGCATGGTGGCTATTGGAGCCTGGAAAAGTTGGGGGATATGGTGGATGAAGAAAAGTTGGTTAATGGGTACAAATATTATACTCATTATAGTATACGGGTATCAAAACATCACATGTATACCCAAAATATGTACAACTATATCAATAAAGTACCGAAAAAAGAAAAGTTAATTTTTTTAATGATGCATCAAAGTTTAGATGTAACCTATTTCTTCTGCCTGGAATATTCTTAGAACACAACTACCACAGCTGCTGGCTCTACCTCACCCTTTCTGTCTCACCTTAAATGTTACCTCCTCACAGAAAACTTTCCAATCTCCTTTAATATCCCTGATTTCTGTCTTCTGTTACACTGAAATGTTCATTTCTTACAAAACCCTACTCATAATATGTATTGTCTCTTTAATTTTATTGTCTGTCTACTAAATGATTAGCCTTATAAGGAAAGTGGCTGTCTGCTTTGCTTATCATTGTATTCTCAAAGTGTAGTACAGATTCCAGAATATAAT